>NT_187688.1:0-163458 GCF_000001405.40 Homo sapiens | reverse complement strand
CATTATAATAAAAACCTTTAAATGCTCTGAGTGCCCAGCGTCAGCATGGTGATAACATACATACGAGGGAATATTGTGCAGCTGCAGTTAGTTCTTATTACATTTCACAGGCATCTTAAATGCTTTGTGAACACCGGTGCATAGATTTTTTTGTTTGGTATAGATGGCAATGATTAGATGGGTGAAATAATAAAAAAAATGGACATATAATTTTAAAAATATTGAGTGACAGAAAAAAATGAAAAAATGTTAAAGAACTTTTTGGTTATGATATTATCACTAAAAGGCCGTGTCTCCTTGCTCCCTTCTTTGGGGACGGTTCTGGGCTTGCCTGGCCCGTGGGTGGGAATTGTGGTGCTCCAAGTGCCTTCAGCTGCTGCTGGGGTCCCAGGAGCCCAGCCTAGGTGTTCTTCCATCCTCACCACCCCATGGCCTCCATGGAGCCCCACGGCAGCCTCAGGAAGGAGGGCAGTATCGTCAGAACACAGTCCTCATGGACCCCCCAAGAGACCCTTGGGCAGAATGCCCCATCCCACCCAGGTCCAGCTTCACTCAGCACGTAAACAGGAACACGGCTGCAGGCAGGCTCCACGCACCCCGTCCCCAGGGAAGCCGCAGCCCTCGTCCCACGTATCCCGGGCAGGCATCTGTAACTGAGGGCTGCGTGGTCGGGTGAGCAGCGAGGCACATGCTGGCTGGGCGGGGAGGGGCGGCCCTGAGTGGTCGTCTTGCTCAGTGCTAGAGGGGCTCTGAGCCGAAGGTCTGAGGGTCCTGGAGCTGCCATGGCAGATCCCCACAGTCTCGGCAGCTCAAAACAACAGGGACTCATTCTCTCCCCGCTCAGCAGGGAGGGGTCTGAAATCGAGTCCATGGGCCGTGCTCCCTCCAGAGGCTCCAGGGGAGGACCCTGCCACCTCCACCAGCTTCTGTGGCTCCAGGCGTCCCTGGGCCGCGGCCACAATGCTGCACCTCTGCCTCGGTCTCCAGGCGACCTCCTCCTCTGTCTGCGTCTAACCTCCCTCTGCCTCTGTGTAAGGACACTTGCCGTGCATGTAGGGCCAACGAGTTAATCCAGAATGACCTCCTTATCTCAAGATCTTTAACTTAAACACAGCCACAAAGACCTGCCTCCTATTTGAAGAGAGGTTCTCTGCACAGTTCCAGGGTCAGGAGGTGAACACCAGGTGGCCCAGCCTCAGCCACCCCAGTGATGATGTGTGAGGTTTCAGAACAGCTGTGCTGCCCTGTTAGGAGCTATACACGCAGAAAGGCAACTCCGCCAGCGTCAGGGGTGCCGGATGCATGCAGGATCAGAAGGCGTCGGATTTCCCAGGGAAGCTGGGGAGCAAGGATCCTGCACCAAGGGAGGCAGGAGGCCGGAGACCAGCCCAGGCCCAGTCCAGGAGGAGCCTGGCCAGGAGTCCCACCAAAGCCACTGGAGCCTCCGTGACCCAGCCCTGGAGGGTCAGCACTGTCCCTCAAACGGATTCTTCACACACAGGTCTCTCTGTCTGTGGGGGCTGCAGGGCCAGTGCCTGAGGAGCCCGGACTTCACACAGGGGTCTCTCTGTCTGTGGGGGCTGCAGAGCCGGTGCCTGGGGAGCCCGGACTGCCGGAAACCTTTGCGGTGGGAGGCTGCAGATGGGACTTCTTGGCCTGTGTTTATGTGGAGCCCAGGCTGCGGGCACCACAGCCAGGCACAGGTCAGGGGTAAGTTGTGGGTGATGTAAGGACTAGAAGCGTAAGTAATGGCCTGACCCCCATGTCCTGGCTGTGCTGTGCGGTGGGAAAGACATGGGCTCCGGCGGCTGCTGGGGATGGCCTGGCTTGCACCTGCTGGGTCCCCCCCTGGCCACCAGCCTCACCCAAGGGCAGTTGGTGACTGCCTGCCTCACTCCTGCCAACCCTCAGGGGCCTAGGAGTCCTGCGTGGTGGGTCTAGGAACCATGCTGGAGGACAGGCCTGTGCCAGGGCCACCAGGATGTCTATGGCAGGAGCCGGTGCTGGCGAACCCCACACCTTGAGCCCCAGAGCCAGGATCCTCAGCCCAGGAAAGGGACCAGAGGCGGGAAAACCACACGGCAAAGGCTGTCCCGTGAGGTCACGGCTCCGTCACCGCTGCCCACACACGGAAGGCAGCCGCGGCTGGGTGAAGCCATCTTCACAGACATGCCGTCCTTGAGGCTCTCACACATGCACACAGACGCTCCGTCCTCTCCCACCCGCCCCCCCGCCACCCCGGGCAGGCCAGGAAGTCCCATCTGGGGCCTCCCACCCCGAGGGTTGCCGTCAGTCCGTGTGCCCAGGCATCGGGGCCTGAAGCCTCCACAGACAGCGAGACCTGTGTACGAAGCAGACTCTGTCCTAGGGACAGTGCTGACCCTACAAGGCTGGGTCACTGGAGGCTCCCCGGGTCCAGTGGCTTTGGTGGGACTCCTGGCCAGGCTCCTCCTGGGCCGGGCTGGTCTCCGGCCTCCTGCCTCCCTTGGTGGAGCACCCTTGCTCCCCAGCACCTCCCAGGTTCACACAGCTCCTCCCTGGGGCTGCGCACTGACCCAGGGGCAGGAGGTGGGCCATCCTCTCGGTGGACTGAAGACCTTGTCCGAAGGGAAAGCAGGGCCGGCCCAAGGCCTGGCTGGAAGAGTGGGTCTTGGTGGCAAAGGCGGCCCGTGGGGGCAGCCCACGCGAATGCTTCCCCGGCGCCCTGAGCCCCTGACCGCGGCTGAGCCTGCGGTACTCTGGCCCCTCTCGTGGAAAGATGACCTGGGTCTACCATGCTCAGTATCACCCAAAAATTCCTACAGAAGTCTCTCGGGACAAGAAAAGGCCTTCTTCCCTCCCTCCTCCTTTCCTCTTCCTTTCTTTCATCAGGGAACAGCTTCCGGCTGCCTGCACTGTTTGGGCGCCGTCATAAGGAGCCGTGACGGCCTTCACAGAGCTCCGGGGCTCACGGGTGTGGCTGACCTGCCACAAATGGGGCGACAGAGGAGAGGGAGGGTCGGGCACCGATGGCTCAGGAGGGAAGAGATCCCTTCTGTATGGGGAGACGGGGGCTTCCTGGAGGGCACTGGAGCGAGGGGCTCACCAGAGTGAGACATCCAAGGGATCTGGGGGACCGGCCATGGGACACTGCGGTCCCACGTGGCTCCTGGATGTGCTGTGTGTTTGCTGAGCTGGAGGGGACGGGGAGCCCATGTGTGGGAGAGGGAGAGGCCATGCACGCCCTGAGTCGGGCTTTACAAAAACCTTCTGGGGGCAGCAGGAGAGGAGCCACGCAGAGGCAGAGCCAGGGAGAGGCGGTGGGGTAGTGAGGGGGATGTCGGGGTGCACGGGTTAGGAGACCCCCGAGTCCTGGGACCTGCATGCTGATAGTCAAGGTTGCAGAGGCGGCTGCTGTGGTGACCACAGGGCAGGGAGAGGCAGTGGGGTAGTGAGGGAATGTCGGGGTGCACAGCACCAGACCCTCCCAGATCTTCTGATTCAGTCCTGGGGGGACCCTACCCCAGATCTTCCAATTCAGTCCTGGTTCGGCCTGAGAATTTGCATTTTTAACATGTCCAGGGACCACAGTTTGAAAACCTCCACGGCTGACATGTAATGGGATGACATGGTCCAATAAATGAAGGAAAAATAACAGGTGGCAACCTCAGGCAGCTTCATCCCAACCAGTAAGAAAGTAAATCCTTTTGTAAACTAAGAGGAAGTATTAATATGGGCGTTTGAGCAAACATTTAAGTGTTAGAACAAAGAATTAAAAACTAGCACAGGCACCCCTGAAGCATGATAGGATGGCAACAGAAGGGCTGATTTAGTTTCCAAGAAATAACTGACAGGCAGTGTTGTGCGTGTGTCTACTACTTAGGAACCCAAAACAAACCTTCAGACCGTTTTCATGAGTACTGAGACCAAGAAAACCACTGGGCAGTGGGTGGTCTGGAAATGTAAATGTTGATGGTACTCCAGTAATGAGTCATGGAACAATGTTTCATATTGAAAATGTTTTTGTAAATGTGGGTTTCAAGGTTTCAAAGTGAACCCGTATGTGTTAGGAGAAAGGACACACCAAAGAAGTAAAATAATTGGGTCAATATAAAAAGAAAGTAGAATACTGCCCAGAGAGAAGATGTGGATAATTCCTAACACGGATCAAAGGCACCAAAAAGGTGAGCTGTGAGTAAGATATTCAGACCTGCACCATCCCCTGCATTAGACACAGACAACATCTTGGTAGGCAACTGGGTGAAAATTCAGAGACAACCCTAGGAACTATGAGGATGAAAAAAGTTAGCATTCATGGAATGAGGCACTGACGAAACTGAAAAGCTGGAATAACCCCATGAAATAACGAGAATAATTGTAGTATTCTGAACCGGGGCACAGGACACAGGACTGGAGTGGAAGGCCGCATGAGACCACCCCGGGAAAGACCCAGGGATCACACTGGCCCAAAGGTGGGCACTTCCCAACTCCGGGATTTGTGATACAGGCACTCCAGGCTCCACCATAGAACTGTGTCCAGCACGAAGGCAGTGCTGTCTTGCGGGAGGCAGGGCTGCACCACCACAGGGGCGGGAAGGGGCCCGGCAGGGAGGCGCCCAGTGTTTCCAGCTGCACCGGTCGGGGACCGCGCTGATGCAGAGCGCGGGGGCGCAGGTTAAACCTAAAGGAGGGAAGCTTTTGGGGGCGGAACAGACAACGGAGAACGCTGCACACTGCCCTTCCCACGCGAATTGTGCTTTGCCTTTTTTTTTTTTTTTTTTTTTTTTGAGACGGAGTTTTGCTCTTGTTGCCCAGGCCTGGAGTGCAATGGCCTGATCTCGGCTCACTGCAACCTCCGCCTCCCGGGTTCAAGCAATTCTCCTGCCTCAGCGTCCCGAGTAGCTGGGATTACAGGCGTGCGCCACCACGCCCGGCTAATTTTGTATTTTTAGTAGATACTGGGTTTCTCCATATTGGCCAGGTTGGTCTCGAACTCCTGACTTCAGGTGATCCACCGGCCTCGGCCTCCCAAAGTGCTGGGATTACACGCGTCAGCCACCGCACCCGGCCTGCTTGCTTTTTTTTTTTTTTTTTTTGCAGAGTCTCGCTGTCCACCGGGCTGGAGCTGCAGTGATCTCGGCTCCCTGCGGCCTCGACCTCCCGGGCTCAGGCGATCCTCCCGCCTCAGCCCACGGAGTACATGGGACCACAGGAGCCCACCACGCCCGACTACTTGCTGTAATTTTTGTAGGGATGGGGTCTAGCCCCGCTGCCCAGGCTGGTCCGCACTGCTGGGCTCAAGAGCTCCGCCCGCCTCCGCCTCACAAAGCGCAGGGATCCCAGGTGTGAGCTACCGCGCCCCGCCCAGAGTTTCCGACTGTTAGCGTGAATCATATTCACGTCAAAACTTCTTTTTATACAAGAACTAAAAGGCAAACGAAATCCCTGCTCCATCACTGCCTGTCCCGGGTCGCGGCGCGGGACATTTCCTCCAAGCGCCTTCCCGGCCCCGCGCGCAGGTGGCCTGCGCCGGAGGATCCCGGACAACGCGCATTTCCTGCGCCCCCGGAAGCGGCGGTAACGCCTGGCCCTGCCCCCGGCAGAGGCGGAAGCACAGTCGCTCTGAGGTCGCCCGTGGCCGCAGGTGCCTCAGCCCAGCCGCGCGCCTTGGCCCTTGGCCGCCTACTCCTACCGCCCCGGCCTTGGGCGGCCCTGGGCCTGCTGCGGGCGCGGCGCTGCCCGACCAGAGCTTCCTGTGGAACGTCTTCCAGAGCTGCCACCTGGCACCGCCCCGGCACCTCCCGCCTCCCCCGCAGCTGCCCCGGACCCGTGTCCCGACCCCCGCGGCCAACCCCGTTCCCTGCCGGTTGCCCCGCGGCCTCCCCCGTCACCTGCCGGGTCCCCAGCGGCCTCCCCCGTCCCCTGCCCCGACCTCCGCCGTCTCCCCCGCCCCTGCCCGGACCCCCGCGGGCGCCCCCGAACCCTACCCCGACCGACGCGGCCGCCCCCATCCCCTGCCCCGACCCCCGCGGCCGCCCCCATCCCCTTCCGGGTCCCCCGCGGTCTCCCCCGTCCGCTGCCCGGTCTCCTGGGGCCGCCCCTGCCTCCTGCCCGGTCCCTGTCCTGTGCGTCGGGCGCTTCCCAAGGTGCAGAGGGCGCCACTGCAGACCCGAGGTCGCGGCCACCGGCTCCTGGGCCAGGCCCCGTTTCTCGCCTCGAGCCGTCGGGGGAGGGTCTCCAGGGTGCTTGTTTGGGGAAAGCGGAAACAGACTGTCTGGGCCGCTGTTAAAATGTCAGCAGCCAAGGAAGAAGCAGCGACCTGGCGTCTGCTCGGGCCAGGTGACCTTTATGGCGGCGCCTTCTGTCCCTGGTCGCTTTTCCACTGAATGAATGACCGAAACTGTAGTAACTCATGGCCAGGGAATGGCTTAGTTATCTGAGGGAATCTTGTCTTGTCTGTGAAAAAGGGAAACTGGTGCAAATGGGAATTCAGACAGGTCAGGAGGGGAAGGAAGGGAAGGATTGAGGTGGGAAAAGAGAGAGAAAGATGATTGTCCTCTTAGGGGAAGAACACACTTGGACGTGGCTCCTGGGGCACTTCCTTGATTCCGCTGTACTCCTCAGCGGGACCGGAGAGGCGGAGGTTCCAGGAGGGAGCCTTCCAGAGTCGGTGCAGGGTTGACAGGAGACGTTTGTTTTGCTTTTCCTGAACTTTCGATCGCCAGCTTGTTTGGTCTTCTTGATGTTATAGGGTTGATAGAGAGGAGTGGAGTGATATCGGACACCCAGCTTCAGCAAGCTCTCTCCAAGGGTGAGTGGGCCAGTGGGACCTGGGTCTCCGGACCAAGAAGCCGCGAGCCTGCCCTGCTCACAGTGGATAACTTTCTTTCTGAAGTTGATTTTCCAAGGACAAAGGAATCATTAGGACAAATTATTACTGCTTCATGGTGGAGATGCTTCTGGTTTATTTTGTGGCTACCGCTGTTACTGCTTGGAGTGCCTCACCGAGCCAGCTAACAACGGCGTGCGTGAGCGCAGGGAAAGGCTTCTTGAGAAATGAAAACTAGGTTGTAGGTTTAGGAGGGGAATAGGAAGGTTAGCTCTGTCCAGCCGAAAGCCTTTTGGTAAGTTGGGGGTCCTTGAATTTCCTGGGTGACTGCATCTTGGTGACTTCTCTGAATAGACCTTCGAGGGCACTGGGGGGTGATTGTTGGAGGGCTTGGGGAGCTCAGGCAGCACTTGTGTGGGAACGTGGCTGTTACAGGAACTGCAGAAACTGGGACTGGGTTCCTGGGGAAAGGATTGGGGGTGTTGGAGGCGCTGGCAGGGGAGTTATGGGGAGGCGTTCTTATCAGTGTGCGAATATTGGGCGTTCAGGCAGCGGGAAATCTGGGTCCTTGGCGTGTTGTGAGCTCCCTGGAGTTACGTTCTTGCCAGTTTCAGCTCAATTGATCCCCCTCCCCTGAGCTATCATTGGATACATTTTACTTCATTGAACACCTGACTGCTGCTTTTTCTGTAATCCCTCAGGGGCAGTCATCTTTTCTGATTCTGTGTATAGTTTGCCTTTCCAGATCCGTGCCATTTAAGCTAGAAAAGGGGTCAGTTTTGAGATGTTGTGAAAATGTTGAAAGGCTCCTCGTTATTAGTGGGAAGTATCTGATGTTGCCAGAGACTGAACTGGGGCGCGGGGAGCACTACGGCTGCTAGACACTGCCTCACTGCGCTGTGGGTGGTGGGGGGGGAGGTGCTGGATTCAGTCTTACTGCCTAATGATTTGTGAGGATTTGTGTTTTCAGAGTAACATGTTTACCTTATGTTATCAGTTCCTAATATGTGACGTATGGGCCACAGATGCTGGTGTATTATTTCACATGCATTTATATAGATTGTTTTCAGGGAATTCAGAAATTCTGTTATCTCTACACTAGTGATTGTGCTTTCTTGATTTTTCTCTTTTCATTATTCTTAAATCCTCCTTTTTTTATTTGCATCTCAGTTTATTTATACTCGGGAAGTGCAAGACATGGCGACTAGAAAGAGATGTCAAGAGAACCCGGAATCCAGTAGGCTACAATTTGGCAAATCTTAGCTTAAAACTTCCTAAATGTTGACCACAGTGGATGCAAATGGCTCTGTGCATCGTCTGTTCAATATGGTCAGGTGACCACCCAGGTTCACGTGGTTTGTCACCAGGGTGATACGAGCCACACGGAGTGCCCTCCTCAGAGGCCATGTCTCAGAGACGTTTATTTTGAGTGGTTTTCCAGCGAGTGATGCAAGATTTATGATCCATTTTAACAGCTGCTTTTTATGCATTTGCTCAAATTTTTAGATTTTAAGTTTAGTTTTAGGTTTTCTGTTAATTTGCTCAACTAGGAGTGGTGGTCAAATACTGGACCTCATTAGCATGGTAGCCTGCCCTCCTTGGCAGGCTCCACTGGAGTGCCTTGGGGCCTGCCTGGATTCCAGTCCTGGCTCTACCAGTTTTGTGTCCTCGCCGTTACTGGGAGGGAGTATTGAGGAAATGCATGCGAGGTGCCTCCGTGATTCCTGGCACGGAGCAAGTGCTCAGTAATTGTCAGCTGTGAGTATTAGTAGTAGCTAATACACTACTACTATTCTTGGCTAACAAGCCAGCTCAAAGCTTTGATGGTTTTCCATTACCTGATGATGGTGATGATGGTTTCCACTTCCTGAACACTCACACCCCTGGGCTAGGCACTTAACCCAAATCCAAGGTCAGCGTTATTGTTTGGAGGTGGGGGAGACACCTCCTGCTCTGACTCGTGTGTTTGGGTTCCCGTATTTTCACCAGAGGGTGTTAGTCCTGCCCCAGTTCAGCTGGTCCTCAAAGCGTATATAGCTCTTTAACCCTCAGCAAGTGTCAGTCAGAACATAATCTTGATTTCAGCTGCTACTAAATATCTACCAGGAGCCTGCTTGAGAGAGAGAATTGCCTGACAGGTGCTGAGTCCACCATTCCTGAGATACTTTGAAATCAGTGTCTGGCTTAACCCAAGCTGTGTATGGGGACCCTCTCACCGTGGTCCCAATGGAGTCGCTTTTGTTAGGCGCCCCCCTTTACCTTGGGCTCTGAGCTTCCTCTGCCTTTCATCTCTGCAGGATGAAGCCCCACTCGCCCTTCAGGATGCAAAGCCCTCCTCTATAAAGTGCATGCGGGGCCAGATGCAGTGGCTCACGTCTGACCTCCCAACACTTTGGGAGGCCGAGGCAGGGGGATCGTTTGAGACCAGCCTGGACAACATTGTGAGACCCTGTTCCTTGAATTGCCCTGGGAGATTTCCTCAGCTTGTACTGGAGGTGTGTGGCCCCATGAAGCCCATAGTCACCGTTCACCCTGAGAGACGCTGGCTTTGGGGCTGACACACCTGCTGCGGGGCAGCCCCAGGAGATGGCCACCCTGTTTCTCCTGGAGCTGGAGCTGCGCGTCTTCTCAGAAACTGTGGTGGCTGTCCTGTTTTGTTTGCATCTTATAAACCTTTACCTGATTACATTTTCCTCTTCAATTTAGCTGCTAGAAAACTTAAAGTCAGATTGGTGGCTCACCAGTAATGAGAGTTTAGAGTAGAGGTAAACTTTATGACATAGTCTTAGACTCTTCACTTTCTCCTCAGCCAACATGATTCACATTTACTTTATTTTGCTGTACTGTGAGTGTCTTTGTGTTTCCTGAATTCCTTCTGGAATAAGGCAGGTTGTTAGTAAGCACAGGTTTCTGGTCCATCTCATAGCCTCAGGCAGTGGGCGGTGCTGTCCGTGCTCCCTTTCTGGGTTACCTGTGGTAGCTCTGAAGTTGCAGGGCTGCGATTTGAAGCCTGATTTAGTACACCGTGTTTCTGTTGTGTTCTGTGGTGGTTTGCTCCTCACATGTGAGCATTCACCCTGTGGCCCTGTGTTTTTCCACCACACCTCTGCCTGGTGGCATCCTACTGGATGTCTCAGCTGAGCCACTCTGTTCTGAAGATGCCCTTGTCCTCCACCCCTTTGCTTTGGGCTCTGAGCTTCTTCTGCCTTTCATCTCTGTAGGATGAAGCCCCACCCGCCCTTCAGGATGCCAGCCTTGGCAACATTGTGAGACCCTGTTTCTACAAAAAGTAAACGTGTAGTGGTGCACGCCTGTAGTTCCAGCTACTTGGGAGGCTGAGATGGGAAGATCACTTGAGCCTGGGAGGTTGAGGCTGCATTGAGCTGAGATCAAGCCACGGCACTCCAGCCTGGGAGACAGAGCGAAACCCCATCTCAAAAAAACAAAGAAAGTGGATGCGCGCTGCTCCTGCCATTGGATCATCGCAGCATTTTTCTTTTCTCTGATATGCGCCTTTTTCCTCATCGTGGGGGCTCATGTTTTCGTACTTTTCTCTCGCTACTAGATTGTGAGCTGCGTGAAGGAAGGTTCATAGTCGTGTTGTATGTACAGGCACACAAAATTTGTGCTTGGATAGACACATATCAATCCGCTTCCTTCTCCTCTCTGAGTTTCTTTATTTAAAAAAAAAATTAGAGATGGAGTCTCACTGTCTTGCCCAGGCTGGTCTCAAACTCCTAGGCTCAAGCGATCCTCCCGCCTCTACTAATATGAATTATTAGCCTATACTAATATGAATTCCTATACTAATATGATTGAAATTAGTTTGACTTGTATAATAATTGTTCTCCCAGATTGGGCTTCTGTTTTGATAGTAGAACTAAATTATTAGGCTATTTCAAGAAATTAATATATTACTGGTAGAAAAACTGAAGCTACAAAATGGCCTGGTTTCTCACTTCAGTTAAATTTGTGCTTCTGAGTGCTTGTATTGTAGGTGAAACCGCACTGAGAAGGTATTTGTGGCCCGTATGCTGATTGATTGATGAGACTTCTTTGCACAGGAGAGCTGCTAAAAATTATTACGGTGAACAGGTATGAAGAAGACTGTTCTCTGCCCTTCTTTTTGCAATAAAATGTTACAAACTATCTTGAGATTGATCCCTTTTCGGGTGTTTGGGTTTTTTTTAACATTCACATATTTCTTGGAATTATAAGAAATTAACTTTGTGCTTCTGAAGTGGGTTTCCCTTAATATAACACTGATGTATTTGTAAGGGGCATTTTTAAAGTTGTACTTTAAAAAATAATAATTCTTACATTCGTTTGAAGGTTTTTTGTTTGTTTGTTTGTTTGTTTTTGAGATGAAGGCTTGCCCTGTCACCCAGGCTGGAGTGCAGTGGCATTGATCTTGGCTCACTGCAACCTCTGCATCTGGAGTTCAAGCAATTCTCCTGCCTCAGCCTCCTGAGTAGCTGGGACTACAGGCACCTGCCACCACGCCCAGCTAATTTTTTGTATTTTTAATAGAGATGGGGTTTCACCGTGTTAGCCAGGATGGTCTCAATCTCCTGACCTCATGATCCACCCACCTCGGCCTCCCAAAGTGCTGGGATTACAGGCGTGAGCCGGGGGCCAACATGGTGAAACTCTATCTCTACTAAAAATACAAAATTAGCCGGGAATGGTGGTGTGCGCCTGTAATCCCAGCTACTCGGGAGGCTGAGGCATGAGAATCACTTGAACCTGGGAGGCAGAGGTTGCAGTGAGCTGAGATAGCGCCACTACAGTCCAGCCTGGGGGACAGTGAGACTCCATCTCAAAAAAAAAAAACAAAAAAAGAATAGAATAACTCTTGTTTAGGTGTTACAAAATCCAGGCCAGACCAATCTAAACTTTAATCTCATACCCAGTTCCTAGATGAGTCCCTTCTCCAGCTCAGGTTCGGCCTAAGCCTCAGGGTTCCTTGCTTGGTGGGCACCACCTGCTCCCTTCCCCGCCTTTGTTCCTCTTTTTCCTCTGCTGGCTCCTCCGGGGTTGGGTGTGTTCAGAGGCAGAGACAGGCTAAAGGTCTTTGGCTTTTAGGTTCTGTTGATGGGTGAGTTCCAGATATAGCTTTCTCTTGTAGGATATTTCATTTATTTATCTATTAAAAATATTTATTTAGAACACACCATTCATGTGCCAGACCCTGTTCCAGGAACTGGGGAGAGGGTGATAAATGAGATCAACAAAAATACCTGCCCACATTAAGCTCCTGTTCTAGGGAAGACAAAAAAGAAAGAAAATACACGTGTCCTTAGTACATTAGAAGGTTCCAAGTACTGTAGAGAAAAATAAAGTAGGTTGGACTCGGTGGCTCATGCCTGTAATCCCAGCACTTTGCGAGGCTGAGGTGGGAGGATTACTTGAGCTCAGGAATTTGAGACCAGCCTGGGCAACATGGCAAATCCTGTCTCTACCAAAATAAAAAAAAAAAAATTAGCTGGATATGGTGGCGTGCACCTGTAGTCCCAGCCACTGGGGAGGCTGAGGAGGGAGAATTGCTTCAGCCCAGGAGGTGAAGGTTGCAGTAAGCTGAGATCGTGCCATTGCACTCCAGCCTGAGTGACAGAGCCAAACCCTGTCTCAAAAACAAGGAAAGAAAGAAAATGAAAAAAAGAAAGCAGAGATGGGGCAAGCAGGGGAGAGGGCTGGTGCTGGGGTCACAGCGGAGGGGCTGGGGATGCACGGGAGGGGCTGGGGATGTGAGCTTTCCTGAGTTCCCACAGTTCTCTGCCCCTCTCCTGTCTCATGGCACAAGGGCCTCCTGGGGCTTGCGGTGGTTTTGCGCCAAGCTAATATCTTGTTCTTCCCAACAGACGGAGGCCCATTGAGGCTTCTGTGTCCTCCACGGGGACCAGCATTGGGCTAAACCTGCAGACACCATTGCAAAGGGAATTCAGGCAAACCCGCTGGTGAAAAATGATTCCAGCGTGGGGACAGAGGCTGACATTTCTCGCGTGGGTGATTTAATGTTGGGCCTCAATTTTTCACTCCCCCCGTAAGAGTATGACATAGCCACAACCTTGCCAGGGCCCGAGGGAGGGTGGATGGACTTATCCGTCCCATAGGTGTTGCTCGTGGCTGGGTGACTTGCTTCTGCCAACGAGATTTTCACAGACACGGCACAAGCAGAAGCCTGGAATGTGTGGGCACTGCCAGGCCTGCCGTCTAAGGCTCTTGATTTTCCCCATGAGATGCACGTGCCCCAGGGAACGGCGGCTCTGGCTGTGGGATGAGAGGCGTGTGGAGCAGTCATGGTTCCCATCCTTAGCCTGGAGTCAAGGCCAGACTAGATCAGCCTAAGCCCAGCCACGCCACGGGTGCAGGAGTGAAGAGCAAATGCTAACTGTCCATGGAATTGACTTTCAAAGGGGCGTGTCATGTGCCTCATCCCAGCAACAGGGAAGGCATTTCTCTATCAGTCAGTTGGTAAATGATTATTGACAAACAATGTGCTGGGAAGGTGGAGTGATTTGAGTAGATTTGGCCTCTATTCTCATGGAGCTTCCTTTCTAGAGGGGAAGGCAGATGATGGATGGATAAATATAAATGATTCTAATAGGTTGGTGCAGCAGTCATTAAAAGTAATGGCGAAAAAAAAAACAAAAGAAACGGGGAGGAGCCGTTGCTGCCGTTCATTAATAGTAATGGCAAAACCCGCGATGACTTGTGCGCCAACCTAACCCAGTAACCACGGGTGTGCAAATGTGGCAATGGGCAAGTTCCGAGTGCTAGGAGAGCATCTAGCTTCCCGGAGTCAGGAGACGGGGGTTGGCAACCTAACCAAGGTTAAGTCCAAGTGAGGGGGGTGGGCAGGGAGCGATATTTCAGTGGAGACTCCAAGGATGAATGGTATTTAGAGAGTAAACCCCGATAGGGTGTTTGTCTGGCACAGAGAAGAGCCTGTGCAAAAGCTGGTGGGGTGAGAGGACACCGTGTATTCATCCACCTGAGGGGCGACCAGCAGGCTGGAGCTCAGTGGGTTGAGAGGAGGATGCAGAGCCCGGGAAAGGCACCCTAGGCAGAGGGCACAGAAGCGCAAAGGCCTGGAGTGAGGCCTGAGCCTGTGTGGTTTGAGGAACGGACAGAGGCCTGTCCGTCAGGAAGGGAACGGCACCGGGGAGAGACCTTAGGCCACAGCAGAGGGCAGGGCAGAGGGCAGGGCCGTGCTGGGCACTGTGGGCTGTGGATGGTGCTGGCATTTAAGAGGGGAGACCATAGACCAGGGCAGAGGGCAGGGCCGTGCTGGGCACTTCGGGCTGTGGATGGGAGCTGGCATTTATGCTCAGGTGATGGGAATGTGTTAAAAGATTTTAAGGAGGGGAGTAACAGTTGGGATTAATGTGTATTCTGGGAATCTCAACAAAGTAAATTCATAGTTTGAATTTTCATAAGACTTCTGCACAGGCAGAGAGAAATAAGATCATGTCTACAGCTGTGTGATGATTTTATTGAAAAACATTACTAAGTTTTTAAACGTGATTTCAAATGGTGTGTTTCTGTTTCACCTTGGACATAAGTAGATTGCAAGGCTAATGGAAAGTAGAAAAGTTAATTCATGAACATAAAAGAGATATCAATTTGAAAACAAAACGTTTATTCATTTACTTCCGCTGCAGATTTCTTGACTGCTGAATTTCATGAGAAGGGATTGTTCAGGGAGGGACATGGGGCTGAAGACCTGGAGAGGAGGTGGTGCTACCGCTGTTCAAATCTGAGGGTGGTGGAGATGGAGCCTTGGGGAGGAGCAGGTGCTGCCTTTTAAGTCTATGAGAGTCGTTGAGCTGGAGGTCCAGGGAGGAGCCAGTGCTCCCACTGATGTCTTAGGTTGTGGAGCTGAAGACAATGAAGGAGCCAGTGTGGCTGTTCTGTGAGACTCGTGGAGCTGGAGATCCAGGTGGGAGAGGTGTTTTAGCTCGGGGAAGAGCTGATGTTCTACCTTGAGGGTCGTGCAGCTGCAGACCCGGGGAGGAGCTGATGTTCTAGATTGAGGGTCGTGCAGCTGCAGACCCGGGGAGGAGCTGATGTTCTAGATTGAGGGTCGTGCAGCTGCAGACCCGGGGAGGAGCTGATGTTCTAGATTGAGGGTCGTGCAGCTGCAGACCCGGGGAGGAGCTGATGTTCTAGATTGAGGGTCGTGCAGCTGCAGACCCGGGGAGGAGCTGATGTTCTAGATTGAGGGTCGTGCAGCTGCAGACCCGGGGAGGAGCTGATGTTCTAGATTGAGGGTCGTGCAGCTGCAGACCCGGGGAGGAGCTGATGTTCTAGATTGAGGGTCGTGCAGCTGCAGACCCGGGGAGGAGCTGATGTTCTAGATTGAGGGTCGTGCAGCTGCAGACCCGGGGAGGAGCTGATGTTCTAGATTGAGGGTCGTGCAGCTGCAGACCCGGGGAGGAGCTGATGTTCTAGATAGAGGGTCATGCAGCTGAAGACTCGGGGAGGAGCTGATGTTGTAGTTTGAGGGTCATGCAGTTGAGGACTTTGGGAGGAGCTGATGTTGTTCGTGTTGAGGGTCTTTCAGCTGGGGACTCAGGGAGGAGCTGATAATCTTGATTAAGGGTCATGGAGCTGGAGACCCAGACAGGAGCTGATGTTCTAGTTAGTGGATCTTCCAGCTACAGAGTCAGAGAGGAGCTGATGTTCTAGATTGAGGGTCATGCAGCTGAATACTCGGGGAGGAGCTGATGTTGTAGTTTGAGGGTCATGCAGTTGAGGACTTCGGGAGGAGCTGATGTTGTTCACGTTGAGGGTCTTTCAGCTGGGGACTCAGAGAGGAGCTGATAATCTTGATTGAGGGTCATGGAGCTGGAAACCTAGACAGGAGTTGATGTTCTAGTTAGTGGATCTTCCAGCTGCAGACCCAGGGAGGAGCTGATGTTCTAGTTTGAGGGTCGTGCAGCTGAAGACCCGGGGAGGAGCTGATGTTCTAGATTGAGGGTCGTGGAGCTGCAGACGCGGAGAGGAGCTGATGTTCTAGTTTGAGGGTCGTGCAGCTGGAGACCTGGAGAGGAGCTGATGTTCTAGTTTGAGGTTCTTGCAGCTGCAGACCTGGAGAGGAGCTGATGTTCTAGATTGAGGGTCGTGCAGCTGCACACTTGGAGAGGAGCTGATGTTCTAGATTGAGGGTCTTGCAGCTGCAGACCTGGAGAGGAGCTGATGTTCTAGTTTGAGGATCTTGCAGCTGCAGACCCGGAGAGGAGCTGATGTTCTACTTTGAGGGTCGTGCAGCTGGAGACCTGGAGAGGAGCTGATGTTCTAGTTTGAGGGTCATGCAGGTGAAGACTCGGGGAGGAGCTGATGTTCTAGTTTGAAGGTCTTGCAGCTGCAGACCTGGAGAGGAGCTGATGTTCTAGTTTGAAGGTCTTGCAGCTGCAGACCTGGAGAGGAGCTGATGTTCTAGATTGAGGGTCGTGCAGCTGAAGACTCGGGGAGGAGCTGATGTTCTAGATTAAGGGTCATGCAGCTGAAGACTCAGGGAGGAGCTGAGGTTCTAGTTTGAGGGTCGTGCAGCTGAAGACTTGGGAGGAGCTGAGATTCTAGTTTGAGGGTCGTGCAGCAGAAGACTCAGGGAGGAGCTGATGTTCTAGATTGAGGGCCCTACAGCTGCAGACCTGAAGAGGTGCTGATGTTCGAGATTGAGGGTCGTGCAGCTGAATACTCGGAGAGGAGCTGATGTTATAGTTTGAGGGCCCTACAGCTGAAGACCCGGAGAGTATCTGATCTTCGAGATTGAGGGTCATGCAGCTGAAGACTCCGGGAGGAGCTGAGTTGCTAATTTGAGGGTCTTGCAGCTGCTGACTTGGGGAGGAGCTGATGTTCTAGTTTGAGGGCCCTACAGTTGGAAATCTGTACAGGAGCTGATGTTCTAGTTTGAGGGTCATGCAGGTGAAAAATCGGGGAGGAGCTGATATTCTAGTTTGAGGGCCCTGCAGCTAGAGATGCAGACAGGAGCTGATGTTGTAGTTTGAGGGTCGTACAGCTGAAGATTCAGGGAGGAGCTGCTCGTGTATTTTTAGGGTCATGCAGCTGCAGACCCGGAGAGGAGCTGATGTTAAAGATTGAGGGTCATGCAGCTGAAGACTCTGGGAGGAGCTGACGTTCTAATTTGAGGTCCCTACAGGTGGACACCGAGAGAGGAGCTTATGTTCTAGATTGAGGGTCATGCAGCAGAAGACTCGGGGAAGAGCTGAGGTTGTAGTTTGAGGGTCGTGCAGCTGGAGAACCAGACAGGAGCTGATGTTGTAGATTGAGCGTCGTGCAGCTGAAGACTCAGGGAGGAGCTGATGTTGTTCGTTTTGAGGGTGTTTCAGCTGGAGACTCAGGGAGGAGCTGACGTTCTAGATTGAGGGTCTTGCAGCTGCAGACCTGTAGAGGAACTGATGTTCTAGATTGAGGGTCACGCAGCTGAAGACTTGGGGAGAAGCTGATGTTCTAACTTGAGGGTCGTGCAGCTGAGGACTCGGGGAGGAGCTGATGTTGACAGCTGTGCAGCTGGAGATCCGGCGGGGAGCTGATGTTCCGGTTTGAGGGCCGGGGAGCTGATGTTCCAGTTTGATGGCCGTGCACCTGGAGACCCAGGGAGGAACATCAAACTGGAACATCTGCTCCCCGCAGTGCCTCCAGCTGCATGGCTCCCAAACTGGAACATCGGTTCCCACCCGGGTCTCCAGCTGCACGGCCCTCAAACTGCAACATCGGCTATCCCCGAGTCTCCAGCTGCACGGCCCTCAAACTGGAACATCAGCTTCTCCCCAAGTCTTTCAGCTGAATGGCCCTCAAACTGGAACTTCAGCTCCCCACCGGGTATCCAGCTGCATGGCCCTCAAACTGGAAGTTCAGCTCCCCACCGGGTCTCCAGCTGCACGGCCCTCAGACTGGAACATCAGCTCCCCACTGGGTCTCCAGCTGCACGGCCCTCAGACTGGAACATCAGCTCCCCACCGGGTCTCCAGCTTCACGGCCCTCAAACTGGAACTTCAGCTCCCCAACGGGTCTCCAGCTTCACGGCCCTCAAACTGGAACTTCAGCTCCCCACCGGGTATCCAGCTGCATGGCCCTCAAACCGGAAGTTCGGCTCCCCCGCGGGTCTCCAGCTGCACGGCCCTCAGACTGGAACATCAGCTCCCCGCCGGGTCTCCAGCTGCACGGCCCTCAAACTGGAATAGTTTGAACTCAGCGGGGAGCTGATGTTCCAGTTTGAGGGCTGTGCAGCTGGAGACCCGGCAGGGAGCTGATGTTCCGGTTGTAGGGCTGTGCAGCCGGAGACCCAGGGGGAAGCTGATGTTCCAGTTGTAGGGCCGTGCTACTGGAGACCCAGGGGTGGAGCTGATGTTCCAGTTTGAGGGCCATGCAGTTGATGACCCGGCGGGGAGCTGATGTTCAAGTTTGAGGTCTGTGCAGCTGGAGACCCGCGGGGGAGCTGATGTTCCAGTTTGATGGCCATGCAGCTGGAGGCTCTGATGGGAGCTGATGTTGCAATTTGAGGGCCATGCAGCTGGAGACCTGGCGGGGAGGTGATGTTCCAGTTTGAGGGCCATGCAGCTGGTGACCTGGCAGGGAGCTGATGTTCCAGTTTGAGGACCGTGCTCCTGGAGACCTAGCGGGGAGCTGATGTTCCAGTTTAAGGCCATGCAGCTGTATGCCCGGGGGGAACTGATGTTGCAGTTTGAGGGCCGTGCATCGGGAGACCCGGTGGGGAGCCAGTGTTGCAGGTTGAGGGCCGTGCAGCTGGAGACCCTGTGGGGAGCTGATGTTCTTGTTTGAGAGCCGTGCAGCTGGAGACCCTGTGGGGAGCTGATGTTCCTGTTTGAGAGCTGTGCAGCTGGAGATCTGGTGGGGAGCTGATGTTCCAGTATGAGGGCCGTGCGGCTGGAGACCTGGTGGGGAGCTGATGTTCCAGTTTGAGGGCCGTGCACCTGGAGACCCGGCAGGGAGCTGATGTTCCAGTTTGAGGGCTGTGCAGCTGGATACCGGGGGTGGAGCTGATGTTCCAGTTTGAGGGCCATGCATCTGGAGACCCAGTTGGTAGCCAGTGTTGCAGGTTGAGGGCTGTGGAGTTGGAGACCCGGGTTGGGGGGAGCTGATGTTCCAGGTTGAGGGCCATGCTGCTGGAGACCCAGCGGGGAGCTGATGTTGCAGTTTGAGGCGGTGCAGCTGGACATGCAGGGGGGAAGTGATGTTGCAATTTGAGGGCTGTGCAGCTGGAGACCCTGTGGGGAGCTGATGTTCCTGTTTGAGGGTCTCGGAGCTGATGTTCCAGTTTAAGGCCATGCAGCTGGAGACCCGGTGGGGAGCTGATGTTCCAGTTTGAGGGCCATGCATCTGGAGACCCGGTGGGGAGCTGATGTTGCAGGTTGAGGGCCATTCATCTGGAGACCCAGTGGGGAGCTGATGTTGCAGGTTGAGGGCTGTGCACCTGGAGCCCCGGGGTGGAGCTGATATTCCAGTTTGAGGGCCGTGCAGCTGGCAATCTGGTGGGGAGCTGATGTTCCAGTTTGAGGGCCATGCAGCTGGAGACCGGGCAGGGAGCTCATGTTCCAGTTTGCAGGCAGTGCAGCTGGAGACCCGGCGGGGAGCTGATGTTCCAGTTTGAGGTCCGTGCAGCTGGAGATCTGGTGGGGAGCTGATGTTCCAGTTTGAGGGCCCTGCAGCTGGAGACCCGTGGGGATCTGATGTTCCAGTTTGAGGGTGGTGCTGCTGGCGACCCAGGCGGGAGCTGATGTTCTAGTTTTAGGGCCCTACAGCTGGAGACCCGGGGAGGAGCTGACATTCCCTTTCGAGGGCTGTGCAGGTGGAGACCTGGGGAGGAACTGATGTTGTTCTAATTTGAGTGTGGTGCAGCTGGAGATCCAGGGATGAGATGGCCCTGCGGTTCAAATATGAGGGTCCCGGAGCTGGACTCTACGTGAGGAACCAATGCTGCCTCTGATGTCTTAGGTTGTGGAGCTGGAAACTCGCGGAGGAGCTGGTATTGGTGTTTCTAGTTGAGGGTCGTGGTATTTCCAGGGTTTCACAGAGGCCAGATTTTATTTCAGTTACTCAGAAGAGAAAGAAAATGTCTTCTGAAAGAGGTGAACTCAGTCATTACCAATAGAAAAAGTATCCACTGTATTTATCTCTTATACAAACAGAAAAATATAACATTTTCCCCCTTAGAATATATATATATATATATATATATATATATATATATATATATATATATATATAAAACTTAAGGTTCTATTGTATGTATCCGAACAATAAAATCTGGAAACCAGCATGAAACTCTATTATTCACATGTTAAAATGTTGAAACTATGACCAAAATATGAAAACTGCTGGAGCTATCAGAAAGACACAAGACAAAAAGCTTCTTGCATATGTATAAACTAAATGTGATAATCTCAAAAAACTGTTCAAAATTATAATTACTTTCCAGTTTAAAAACTTTAATCCTAAATTAAAAAAAAAAATCTATACACAAACCACTGATTTGCCCAGACCAAAGAAAGAAAGAAAGAAAGAAAAGAAAGAAAGAAAGAAAGAAAGAAAGAAAGAAAGAAAGAAAGAAAGAAAGAAAGAAAGAAAGAAAGAAAAAGAAATCAGCGGTAAGGTAAGCAGGACCCAGAGGAGCTGATATTCACAGTTCTTACATGGACAACTCTTTCAGGAATTATCCATAAAGTACTTTATTTTACAACCTGCTTTTCTTATAAAACTAAAGGTGCACTTTTTTACATAAAAGTTTTATACAGTGTTAAAACCAGAACTGTGTGTAAAATACTGCATGTAAATGTTTCTAAATAGTCTTGTTCCAGTGGTTCATCGGTGACTTCTGTGGCTTCGTCATCATTATCCATGGATGATTCTGAAAGAATCTCTCCAGTTTTACTGGAATTGGATCCTACTAATTCTTCTGTTTCACGGCAGTCAGAAGAACCACTACTTTCAGGGCCTTCGTTTTCACTACCTTCAGAATGTAGTAAATCTTTCTCAGCTTGAGACACATCAGATTCCTCCATTTCATTATTTTCCTCAGAAGTCTCTTCATTCACAGTTGAGGCATCATCAGATTCTTTTTCTTGGTTTTTTCTTTCTGGGACCATTTCTCTTGATGTCATAAAAGACTCTAAAAATAAGCAAATGTTGTTGTACTTAAATTTTATATTCAAAATACCTCCACAGTTAAGTTTCGTGAATTCTGATGTTCTGTAGTTCAAATCACATCCCCTGAAATTCAGCAGCAACTGCATACAGGTGGGAGAAAAGCCCAGCGTCGACATTACAAGGAGTTCCATGATGTACAATTCTTTCACAAAAACAATGAATGCAAGAATTTGAGGATCTCCTTACTCCTCCCTTTTACAGATGGTCTCTCAATCCCTTCTTCTTCCTCTTCATCTTCATCTTCTTCTGAACGCGCTGCCGGGTACCATGGCTTTTTTTGTCTTTATCATGAGATGAAGGTGATGCTTCTGTTTCTTCTACCATAACTGAAGAAATTTCGCTGCAAGTCGCTTGACTGGCTATTTCTCCGACTTCGCCTTTTTTGTCAAACCTGAGTCTTTTTACCTCATGCCCCTCAGCTTCCACAGCATCTTCATCTGGATGTTTATTTCTCAAAGGGCTCACTGAGGAAACTTCTGATTCAGATGTCGAAGAGTCACTGAGTTTTCTCTTCATTTTGCTGCAAATTTGCCTCTTTGCTGTCTGTGCTCTCAGGCCACCCATTTGTTGTCATGGGGGCTGACAGAGAAACCTTTGGTCGATTACGTGGCCTGGGTGTCCCAGGCCCATTTATATTAGACCTCTCAGTATAGCTTGGTGCATTTCCAGGAAACATCACACCATTCATTCGATTTAAACTATTGGAATTGTTTTTCTCTGAAGAAGGATAAACACAGCTAACAACCATCACGTTCTTTTCTACTCCTCTGAGAAATTTGTCTGTTCCTGTATAGTTTCTCCTCGGATCTGTTAACAATTCACATAATCGCTGAATAGTAAAAGGGATACGGTTAAATCCAGTGACAGTTTTTCAGTATTCTTCCCTTTGTTTCATCACAGGGAATATATTCGACATTAGGGTTGGGAGGACCTCTTGGCGCAGGAGCTGAAGTTCTGAAATCATCCATCACTTTCTCCAGTTTGAAAATAAAATAGCCTTTAAATTGGGACCACGGAATCTGTTTCTCCAGTCTTGGCTACATGACAAAAGGAACTGATCCAGGACAGGACAGACTTTCTTTTTTGCCTCTTCTCAAAATCTTCCAGCGCCTCCTGGAGCCTGTCGACGTCCATGGCTTCCCGGAGTCCCTCACAGCCTCCGCCTCCCTCCGCGGGTCTCTTGGGGACCGGAACGCCTCCCCCCACCCCCCGACGTCCTCCCACTCCCTCGCACACCCTCCAGCACGCAGGCCAAGTGGGGTGGGGGGGAACGAAGGGAGCCGGGGAAGCGTGTGAGAGAGTGAGACCGACAGAGTGAGCACCTCCCCAAGCCGCTACCACCAGCCCTCCAACATGGCGCCTGGCACATCACCCTAAAAAGTCATTTCTTGGAGAAGCGATGGATGACAGAGATTAATCTGAGAGTTACTATTAATGGAGAAACTTAGAACTTACCATTTTTCCTGTGAGGTTTCGGTGCTGATACTTCTATTCTGTGAGTTCTGGCAATTGTGTCCGTTCACCCAGCCTGGTGATGCAGCAGGTGTCACAGAAGGACCCTGTCCCAGCTGGTCCTGCTCCACTGCTAGGATGGTGTGGCCTCTGATCTGTGACCGTGTCTTGAGGGGAGACCAGGCCCTTGATCACAAGCGTATCCATGGTGAGGTTCCGTGGATGGAAGCTCATGGATGTTCCTTCCTGATGTTCATCTGCCACCATGCTATTGAATGCATCTTGTTTATAACTGTCTTCTAAATATTGAATAGAAATAAAGCGTTTTTACAGTATGGGTAAGGTATAAAGAATATTGACACATTGGACACAGAGGACCTCCACCAAGTTTAGGGAGTAGAATCTGAAGAGACATAGCTTTGGATGCTCCCTGGAGGCCCTGCCTGAGTCCCAGTCCCTTCCCTTCTCCTACGGAGGGAATCACTTCCTGCTTTAGTCTTTATTATTTGCACACTTTCCTTCATAGTATGTTTCTTTCACCGTGTGTGTACATCCCTAAAAGATATGCCATTTAGTTTTTGAACTTTCTGTTTTCTTTTTGAGGCAGGGTCTTGCTCTGTTGCCTCGGCTGTAGTTTTGAACTTTGACGTGAGGGAATTCTCCTGCGTGGCTGCTCCTGCACTGCATGGCTCTGAGCACCTGCTCTGTGTCTATTTTTGTCCTCCATTCTCTCCCTGAGACCCACCCACACTGACATGGCTCATTTTCATTGCTGCATGGTCTCCCGTCGTCTGAGGGGAGCATGGGAAATGTCTTCATCTTCCCGTGGATGAGTGTTTGGCCAGGTTGGGGCCCTTAGGACTGTGTTTTGTTGGGAACGTTCTTGGGCATTTCTTTTGTACACAAGCGCAAGTTTCTTCTGGTCAGTAGCTTTCAAATTTTAAAATTTCATCCCAGGTAAAAATGTAATTTTCCTCATAACCCACAACACACACACTTTCATATACAAGCATAGCAGAAATATACTTCACAAGCGTTAGCAGTGCCTGGTGTTCCTGCTTCTCTCCATTCTCCCCAACGCTGGCATGGATTGGGTTGTGGGATTTTTGCCCGTCTGGTGGTTGTCACGTGATATCTCCCCCTGTTAGGCTGAGCCCCTCTTCATGTTTTCATTAGCCATTCCTCCACATTTCCTCTTCTGTGGAGGGCCGGTTCAGCTCTTTTGCCCAGTTTCTGTTAAGTTGTTTGAATTTTTGCACTTTTCCTTTATTATTCCTATTACTATGTTTTTGAGACAATATCACTCTGCCACCCAGGCTGGAGTGCAGTGGCGCGATCTCAGCTCACTGCAACCTCCATCTTCTGGGTTCAAATGATTCTCCTGCCTCAGCCTCCCAAGTGGCTGGGATTACAGGCACGCACCACCACGCCCAACTAATTTTTATATGTTTACTACAGATGGGGTTTCACCATGTTGTCCAGGCTGGTCTGAAACTCCTGACCTCAGGTGATTCTCCCACCTCAGCCTCCCAAAGTGCTGGGATTATGTGGGTGGCAAGCCACCCAGGCACCGAGGCAAGAGACAGAGGACACGAGCTGTTCCAGTATAATAAAATATAAAACAAGAATAGTTATACCAGATATAGATCTTAGATATGATTATATATGAATATCATTAATCATTAGTTTGTAGCAATTACTTTTTATTCCAATATTATGATAATCCTTGCTCTATAATCGTAGCCTAGGAAAAACCAGGCCATACAGAGATAGGAGCTGAGGGGACATAGTGAGGTGTGACCAGAAGACAAGAGTGCGAGCCTTCTGTTATGCCCGGACCGGGCCACCAGAGGGCTCCTTGGTCTAGCGGTGATGCCAGCGTCTGGGAAGATGCCTGTTACCAGGCGGATAGCAAAAGGTGTCAAGGAACAACACCCGATACTTAGCAGACCGGGAAAGGGCGGGGAGGGGGGGGGGTCTCCCTTTCCCCGGGGGAGTTTAGAGAAGACTCTGCTCCTCCACCTCTTGTGGAGGGCCTGACATCAGTCAGGCTCGCCTGCAGTTATCCGGAGGCCTAACCGTCTCCCTGTGATGCTGTGCTTCAGTGGTCACGCTCCTAGTCCGCCTTCATGTTTCATCCTGTACACCTGGCTCTGCCTTCTAGATAGCAGTAGTAAATTAGTAAAAATACTAATAGTCCCTGATATGCGGAAATAATGGCATAAGCTGTCTTTCTCTCTGTCTCCTCTCCCTCTCTGCCTCGGCTGCCAGGCAGGGAAGGGCCCCCTGTCCAGTGGACACGTGACCCACGTGACCTTACCTATCATTGCAGGTGACTCACATTCTTTACCCTGCCCCTTCTGCCTTGTATCCAATAAATAACAGCGCAGCCAGACATTCGGGGCACTACCGTTCTCCGCGCATTGGTGGTAGTGGCCCCCCGGGCCCAGCTGCCCTTTCTCTTATCTCTTTGTCTTGTGTCTTTATTTCTACACTCTCTCGTCGCCGCACACAGGGAGAGACCCACCGACCCTGTGGGGCTGGTCCCTGCAGGGTTATAGGCATGAGCCACCATGCCCGGCCTGCTTTTTTCTTTTTCAAAAGGACTCTTTCTAGATTATACCTATTCATTCCGGTGACTATATGTGGGGCAAAGATGGGTTTGAATCCACCAGGATAAACGTGCCGGATCTCCTCTCTGATGGAAGAAGAGACAGGGATAGAAGGGTGCAGAGAATCAGAGCCAAGAGGAGGCCGAGTCAGGCGGGGGTTGCAGGCTGCTGTGAGGACTTGGCTGCTTCTCTGAGTCTGGTGGGATTAGCAGGGGATTTAAACAGAGGAACCGTGGGATCTCCCTTATGCATTTCTGCCATGGTTGGCTCAGCTGAACACACCTCTTGAGCAAGACTTGGTCTTGGACACCCAGAGGCCCTTGGTTGAGGGTTTACCTCCTGGCGTGGCCACTGACACATCCACGTTTGTCTCCCACACGGCTGGGCGGCCCCGAGACCTGCTGTGCGTGCCCTTCTCATTGGTGGCATTTCTCAAGTTTGTCCCCTCTCAAGTCTGCCCCATCCGGAAAACCAAACACCTCTCTCTCCTACATGGAAACCCCCGTCAGCACCTCCTCCTGACTCACAGGGCATCCCGTCAACATCACAGTCCCAACCTTCCCACATGGAGAAGCTCATGGGACCCCCGATGGACCAGGACAGTGCCAGCACTAAGACGTGCCCTGAAACTCACAGGAAGAGCGGACCAAGAAGCCGGGAACAGCACGGGGCACTGGGAGCTGCAAACGCCCACGATACTGTGAGAGACGGAGAAAGGTATGACAGGAGGAGCAGACCAAGAAGACGGGAACAGCACGGCGCACTGGGAGCTGCAAATGCCCACGATACCGTGAGAGATGGAGAAAGGTATGGCCATGGCGGTCACAAAATGTTCCTCAACATTTATTAAAGGCCTAAATGGAGAACATAACGCTATCAAACCCTTAGCTAAAAACACAGGGGAAAATTCGTATGGCCTGGGGTTAGGCGAAAAGTTCTTAGACATGACACCAAAAGCATGATTCATAAGATTGACAAATTAAATTTAGTCATAAATTTAAAATTATAATTCTATAAAGCAATATAAAAATCCAAAGAGAATGAAACATGAACTATGGTCTAGAAATAAACATTTGTGAATCACACGTCTCACAACCTACTGGCACGCAGGATATATGAAGAACCATCAAAACTTAACCATAAGAAAGTAAAAACCCCAGTATTAAAGAGAGGGCCAATATTGGAACGGAGGCCTCATCAAAGAAGGTATAAGGAGGGCATATTGCCCGAGAAAGAGGCTCAACATCATAGAGATGCTGGAGAAATGCCAGTCAGCAGTACCTCTGCAAATCCATTAAAATGGCTAAAAACAGACAAAACCCATGGGCCAACCCAGGTTCTAGTGATGATGCAGAGGAACTGGGACCCTCATAAGCTGCAGTGGGAATGGGAGGGGTCCCGCCATGCTGGAAAGTGGTCCTGGAGTTTCTTACGAAGTTAAGCACATCCTTACCATGTCATCCAGCAACCCCACTGCTGAAATGTCCCCCAAGGGAAAACTTAAACGTGCACACACAAACCTGCACACAAGTGTTTAGGCCTCATTCCTCATTGCCAATAACTGGAAGAAAACAAAATGTCCGTCGGCAGGAGCAGGAGAAGGCGTGAACTAACGCGGATGCTTCCACACAGGGGGCACCAACCAGCAGTGGAAAGATGCACCCAAATGCCCCAGGTCTCCCAGGCTACATGCCCGTTGAAGGAAGCTAGTTTCGGTGGGCACAGGCCAAAGGATGCCAACACATGACATCTTGGAGAAGACAGTGTACCGTGTCGGGGAGCAGGGCAGTGGTTTCGAGGGGCTACGGGTGGAGGGGCGAATGGAGGAGCTCTCTGGGGCGATGGCGTGAGCACCTGCACCTCACTGTGGGCTGCTGCGGCTGAGGGGCTGGTACGGCAAACACTGGCTTCAGTACATGCAGACTGAAGGAGGAAGGCTCCCACAACTCAGAGACAGAGGGTGTCGCCTCCATGAAACAAAAACATATTTTAAAAAAAAACCTCTTAAAATTAAGAAAAAAACCACAAAAAGTATTTCATAAGCGCATTGACTTTGAGTTGACACAATCTACCTGGGAGCATGGAACTGAAACCACAGGCTTGGCAATCCCGGAGGGAGAGGGTGGAGGGTTTAGACCTCAATTGAAGGGCTCAGTACCTGGCTATAGGAAATAACATTTAAAAAGCAGCAGGGTGGAAATAATTTCTGCTGATGAGGTTGCATCTCTCCAGATAGCCGGCAGAGTAAATTAAAGCAATATAGTCTTGCTCTGTTGCCCAGGCTGGAGTGAAGTGGCGCCATCTCCGCTCACTGTAAGCTCCGCGGGAGAATCTCTTGAACCCTGGAGGCAGAGGTTGCGGTGAGCCGAGATCCCGCCATTCCACTCCAGCCTGGGCAACAAGAGCGAAACTCCGTCTCAAACCAAACAAAATTAGGTAACTAACCCAGGACTAAAACAGCGTAACTTTAAAAAAATAAGTCTAGGAGGTATGATGTTCATTCCCTGCAAGCCAATAAAGGTCACGTCTGGGGCATACATCTAAAAAAATAATCCTAAAGAGAAAGTTATGGTCACAAATATGTTCTGTATGGTGTTATTAAGAGCAAAAATGGGAAACAACCCAAATATCAGTAAAATGGGACTGAACCCTTGCAAATTTACTAAAATAAAATTGTTAAACATGATGCACAAGACGAAGATTTTAATAAAGTGAAAAGACAGGAAACATACTTACTAATGATTATTGGTTTATTTTTCATGCCACTTCATTCCACAAAAAGATTTCAGATATCTTAGAAAAAGACACACTAGAAATATTAAAATACTATCTGAACCAGAAGCAGAATCAGGGTAAGCTAGCAGAAAGGCGTATGAGCCAAAGGGATCTACCCAGCTTTCAAAGCTGACCACGGCCGTGCGCAGTGGCTCTGTCTGTAATCTCCGCACTTGGGGAGGCCGAGGAGGTAGGATCGCTTGAGGCCACAAGTTCGAGACCAGCCTGGGCAACAGAGCAAGATCCCGCCTCTACCAAAAATTTAAAAATCAGCCGGAAGCCAGACACTAGGGACATGGCTGAGGATCGCTCCCGCCCCTCGGAGGCCAGAAACCGAGGGTCACTCCCGCTCTCTAGAGGCCGGAGGCCCCGGGCCGCTCCCGCCCACCTCCGCGGACGAGCGCCGCCCCTTCGACCCCATTCCCTGAGGTCTGGACGTTCAGGCCCTCTCGGTCTGGGAGATCCCGGAGAACCACCCACGGGGCTTTAAAAAATGTTGGTGCCCAACATCTCCCCGAAATAGGGCCCGCCCTATCTCGGTCGGGGAGCGCGGGACCTCCGTGGCCACCCAGCGCCACCGTCCGCGGGTCCGCTTTGCGCAGGCGCGGCGTCCCCGCCCATTAGACCCCTGCCCGGGCGTGTCGTGGTGCGCAGGCGCGATGTCCCCCACTAGCGCCCCGCCTTGACCCGGCCGTGGTGCGCAGGCGCAGTCTGCGCAGGGACTGGCGGGACTGCGCGGCGGCGACTACAGACGTGTCGGGGGTCCGGGGCCTGTCGCGGTTGCCAAGCGCTCGGCGCTTGGCGCTGGCGCTGGCCAAGGCGGTGAGTCCCTGCCGCGGACCGGGGCAGGGCAGGCGGGGGGCGAGGCGGCGGTAGGAGCGGGACGGTCCCCAGCGGGTCCGAGCGGAGCGGGCGCCGGGTGCCCGCGCCCCCTGCCCGGGGATCGGGAAGGGGCTGGGAGAGCCCTGGGCCGGTGCGAGGGGGAGCCGCGGAGTGTACTCGGGGGCCTGGGGAGCTCGGTCCTTAGCAGGTAGGCCGCGTCCCGGTGAAGGTCGCGACCCCGCGGGCTTGCTGGGCGTCCCCTCCGCCGCTTTGGTCCGGGCCTGGGGTCCGGCGACCTCGCGGGCTGAGGTAGCCCCTCGCCTCTGCCTGGCGGGTGGACTCGGGGAGGAGTCGTGTCTGCCCAAGGTCACCGGGGTGGAGTCCTGGCTGGGCCGGGCCTCTGCCGCCCTCTGTGAGGGTTGTCCTGCGGGGCCGCCCGCAGCCCGTGGGTGGGGCCGGCGGGGCGGGTGAAACCGCCTGGGTGGGTGCGAGGAGTGGCCGGGCTCGGCCGGGTGGGTGTCCGGTGGGAAGCGCGGCGCGCCCGAGCTTGGGCTTGCAGTTCCCCTTTCCAGAGAGCGCAAATCTGTGCATGTCCACTTCGGGATCTTGGAAGTTAAGGACCTGTACTTTGGGTCCCGTTTGGTGGCCCTTGTGCCACAAAAATGTGCCGGTGTTTAAAAGCAGCTGTGCCAGTTTTTAAAAATCAGACGGAGAGCTCAGGGCACTGACCGAGCGAGGACTCCAGGACCTGTGCTTGCCTGTGCGCTGAGTACCTCGAGGGCCGGGCTCGGCTTAGTCCAGGATGATGGTCAGGGTTATACTTCCCTGAGCCCTTGCTCTCTGAGTGTCTGAATGTGCCCTCTACGATTGCATCTTCAGAATCGGCCTTCTAGGATTTCATTTAATCAAGCGAAATTGGATAGGTTTAGTTGTTTGGTTCTTTTAAATGAACTTAGCCACCCACCTCTTAATTACAAAGTAATTTTAAATTGCAGAGTAAAAATCTCAATAGAGGAACCAAGGCATTCAGCAATATTGATTTGAATTATGCCTGTGATTGTGCAATTTTCTCCTTTTTGAAATAGTTATTGAAAATCTCTTTGAATTAAATGTGAGGATTAGTCATACAGCCATCCTGTCAACATCGGAAAGCGTGTAAACCGTTCTAGCGTGTTGCTGTGGTTGGTGCTGACTGAGCAGAGACCCCCGCCGCATCTTGGGCTCTTAGGAGCTGCTGGGAGGGCGTCCACAAGCAGGAGGTGAAGCCCATGGTCAGTGGGACTTTTTAGGGGCAATGGTAGCTTGTGGTTGGAGAGAAGCTAGATAGAGCCAGTGCCTTTGTCCCCAACCCAGATGGTGCCCAGTGTTCCTTCTGCAGACTAAGGCCCCAGGCACCTCAGACCAGATGGCAAGATAGCAAAATGGAACCAAAATTTAGTCTTGGGTTTTGTAAAAGTCTTTTTATCTTGATGAAGGTAGCTTTTCCTACAGAAAGTCGTGCGTTTTTGGGTTCTTCGTTGGCTGCTTTTGTGATTGTGTAGGCTGTACATGCAGATTCGTTTCTTGCTCATGATTTATAGGTGCATTTTATTCGATGAGGACCCCTTACTTTGCTAGATTTCGGATATGAATGTCTCTGCACTTGTTACTTTTCCCCCTCCACCTCCTGATTCAGTCATCTGAAATTCTGTATTGTTAAGCAAGGTCTAAGTATTCCTTTTAGTTATATGTTCCCCATGTTTTTTCTTAGAGGAAATGTTTGATAGTTTCTCCTAAAAAATTAATAATTGGCACAAAAGACTAGTTTTGTGTCAAAAGTAGTTTTGAGTTTTATCTAAAGACTGACATTGGCTTGAAGTTGGGCTTTCCAGATTCAAAAATCTGCCCCAGATGAGATTTAGATGCAGAGGGTTAGTGTCCTTTTCCCCAGGGGGATGGCGTGATGATTTGTTCAAGATTGTGTTATAGTAGCTGCCCCTTTTAAGGCAGCTGTGTGTGTGTGTGGTGGGGAGTGGGCAGTGTGTATTCCACATCAACATCCTAGAAAGAACGAATAAACATTTAGTGATCTCACTGTTTCTACTTACATTTGGTATAATGTACTGTTTTTATTGGTGCTATTACCTATGTTAATAGGGCACTTTACAAAATTTTCAAGAACGTTTTTATTAAAATTATTTCAAAGACTTCTTTCTTAAAATATGATTTTACCATGTAAAAAATTATACTAAGGTAGAAGAATATTCGTTCTTTCTCATTTTCTGAAAAAAGAAAAAACTAAATTAGCTTATGTCAATAAAAACAGACTAGAAATTGGAGAAATGAAGAATAATTTTTTATCCCACATAATAAGTAATTTGTGAATTGCAAGTATTTCTAAATACTTGAAGACATCCCTCACATCCCCTCTTCTGATTGCTGAGTGCATAATTTCCTAAAGCTTTTTTTTTTCTTTTGTTTTTTTGGAGACATTGTCTCGCTCTGTCGCCCAGGCCGGAGTACAGTGGCACAGTCTCGGCTCACTGCAACCTCTGCCTCCTGGGTTCAAGCGATTCTCCTGCCTCAGCTTCCCAAGTAGCTGGGATTACAGGTGCCCGCCACCACGACCAGCTAATTTTTAGTAGAGAGGGGGTTTTGCCATGTTGGCCAGACTGGTCTCGAACTCCTGACTTCAGGTGATCTGCCCACCTTGGCCTCCCAAAATGCTGGGATTACAGGCATGAGCCACCACGCCCAGCCCCTAAAACTATTCTTGATGATATTTCTGAGACTATTCAGTGGTCTTCTAAAATGCCGCCAGCAGAATGGAAAACGTATCCCCTAAATGGCTGGCCAACCTTAGCATATGGGACAGTGTGACCTCTCTCACACAGAGCCACTAAAAACTAAACACTAAAACCAGTTTTCTTGAGTAAAGGTTTCTAAGATGGAAAATTTAAGCAGTGAGATATGTCAAGTTGTAGACGTTGGCCAGGAAAAAGCCAGCATCAACCAGGCAGGGGAGAGTGTGCATCCGACATCCTCCTGTGTGATGAAGGGATGACACCTCTTCCCTCTGGGCTGTCAGCCTTTACTGTTCCAGGATACAGATCTCCTGATTCAGGTGTCCAGTGCCTTTTGAACTGACCGCAAGCCCTCCTGGACGATTGGAACTGTAATGTGGAAAGGGCTCTGATGGAGCCGGTTAAAATGCTTCATTATTTGCAAAATACCACATACAGTAATACGATCTGGATGTCTTTCCCCTCCTCCACTAAGTAGCATAAGTGAAGACTTCCCAGAGGAAGTGCGTCTTTTTCATCTCGTATCTGAGTCAGTGAGTATCCTTTTTGGAAACAAGCTTCATCCTGGTTTTCTAGAGTGCCAAGTCAGGGTGGAAAGGAGGACCTGGGGGCTCAGTCCTTCCTTGCCCCTTGGGCTGCCCTTCAGGGTTAAATAGAGGGTCCCAGCTGAGCTCTCTGGATGCACAGGAGCACCTGGGTACATAAGAAGGTGAACAGTTTTCAAGGGGAAGTTTGAATTACTATCCCCCACAGCATTTGTTCCTTCAGGACACTAACCCTCTGGATCTGTGTCTTCTGTGTCTCCAGTGGCCAACAGTGTTGCAAACAGGAACCCGAGGTGTTCACTTCACTGTTGAAGGAACGAGAGGGCATCTGCTAAAGTTTCAGATTCCGTAAGTTCATGCTTTTTGTTCCATTATAAATGATTTTTTTGGCTTGGGGGTAAGGATCTATACCAGTTTGTTTTCATATGAGTCATAGACATAAGGGAAAAATTTCTCATAGGTATCCAATGCATGCTGAAATTATTTTCAGTGTAATAATACTTAATTGCAAGTACCAATATAAACATAGATGTTAACATTTTTACTTGTATCTGTTATGTATCTATAAATTAGATTTAAATTTAGGTCAAGTAAAGCAATAAATTAAAATGAACAGTATCTGCTGTGATAGATGATAAAATCCTACTGAAAAGAGGACCGTGGGGCCCTTCCGGTGTGGGTTCCTTGGTATTGAGTGTGCCTGTTCTCTCTCTGTTGGAAAACTGAAACGTGCTGAGAAGTTCTTTTCTCATAAGCTCACAATAGCGACTGAATGCTCCTTGGTACCTTCTCAGGCATAAGCATAGGCACGGCCCTGAAGTAGAGTTGTGGTCCTCAGTCTGATCCCATGGAATAGACCCTCTACCATTCATAGAATCTGATTATCAGTCCCTTCTCCAGGTGCGAATGTGCCTACTTCTCCCTGCACTGTTCAGGGCTCAGCCCCAGGACAGGATGGAGGCCCTGTGTGCCCAGCAGTTGCTCCTTTTATCTTTGTCAAGCTCTTTCACTGGCACAAGAGTCTTCATGTTTGGCATAGTGGAACCTGTGCTTGACAGGTGAATTTTTCTTTTCCAGATTTCTGCTCAGTATCCAGTAGTGGATCATGAATTTGATGCAGTGGTGGTAGGCGCTGGAGGGGCAGGCTTTGCGAGCTGCATTTGGCCTTTCCGAGGCAGAGTTTGATACAGCATGTGTTACCAAGCTGTTTCCTACCAGGTCACACACTGTTGCAGCGCAGGTAAGAGAAAGGTGCCCCACTGTGCTCCCACTCCGTGCAGGTCCCGCGCAGCCTCGCACTTTCTACCTGGGCAGCCTCCTGCCTCCTCCCTGTGCTCCAGCCACTTGGCCTCTTGCTGTGCCTTACTCAGCTCACCCATTCAGGGGTCTCTCCCTGGAGCCTCTTCCCTGGGGACTTTGAAGGGCGGGAGCCTTGTTGTCACTCTTAATTCAGACTCCAGTCACACTTGGGTTTTCTCTGACCATCTACCCTCCCCACCCACCCCTGCCACCCCAACACCTTAAGAAAAGGAGATCATCTAAAGAGGAGGATTCAGAATTTAGGTTGGGGAAGAAAAGGGCAAGGGTTTCATTTGTCCCTGGTGCTGCTGTCTTCTGGGACTCTCTGAGGGGTAAGACGGTGGTGGGCACACACAGCCAAAGGAAGTAGGGGTACAGGGGAGTGCGACTCTGAGTATGGAGTTTATTACTTGGCAGGAAGCACTTCTAATCTTTAACACATGCCCGTAAATGCCGTTGGGAAGATTTGTTAATAAAATTATGCGGAGAGATTCATGGAGTACCTTTTCTGTGCCAGATACGTTAGGTAATAAGCATATTACAGGTAGCCTTTCACTCACTGCTCCAGTCAGCCCTTCCTGGAGTTCCCTCTGTCTCCACCACACAGATGAGGAGACTGAGGCTAAGGGATGGAATCACTGGGTGAGTCTGGGAGGGGTTGTGATCTGGAATCTGTCAGGCCTGGCTGCTCCTCTGCTGAGGTCAGCCCTCACTGGGAGTCACCATGTGAGTAGCTGGCTTTCTCTGAATCCCCCAGCGGGTGGATTTGGGCCTGGAAGACAAAGCTGGGGCTCCTGTTTGTGGCTTGTAAGGAGTGGTTGGTGTTTCCAGGTTGGAATCAATGCTGCTCTGGGGAACATGGAGGAGGACAACTGGAGGTGGCATTTCTATGACACCGTGAAGGGCTCCGACTGGCTGGGGGACCAGGATGCCATCCACTACGTGACGGAGCAGGCCCCCACTGCCATGGTCGAGGTGATGGGCGGGAGGCTCTGGGTGCTCTGGTGGTCTGTTTCCAGTACAAGAGTCCTGGAAAAAATGTAAGCAGTTGAGGCAGATGTGGCAGCCGAAAGAATGGTGATTAGCAAAGCTCACAAGAGAAGTCTTTGTCCATCATGAACTATGTATTACATGTAATAAGAAAAACTTCTCTTTGATGAAGTGTTGACATTTTCATAAAATAGGTTAATTTGGGTTTGCAGATTTGTATTAAAGTTGTTTAGTGTAGATTAGCTGTGAATATCTTGACTCCTTTAGGGTAATAAGGCTTTTGTTTGTTTTTATCTTTCACAGGTAGAAAATTATGGCATGCCGTTTAGCAGAACTGAAGATGGGAAGATTTATCAGCGTGCATTTGGCGGACACAGCCTCAAGTTTGGAAAGGGCAGGCAGGCCCATCGGTGCTGCTGTGTGGCTGATCGGACCGGCCACTCAATATTGCACACCTTATATGGGAGGGTAAGGCTGCCCCCCGTCCACCTGAGACAGGACACATAGTGCTGGGGCTTGTGGTGACAGCGGGGAATGGGTTAGCGTGCCCAGTGAGTCAGCCAGAGATTGCGTAAAAAGCAACAGAGAACAGCCGTGTGGGGCACATGCAGCGACTGTGGATGTGACAGGAGCAGGCGTGTGCCTTGAGAAGCTGCCCCTAAGGCAATGTGTGAGTTGTTGCCTCTATGTTGGGAAGTTGAATTGATAATCTTATATACCAGGTTTTCACTTGGGATATGTGACACTCAGCATGTAAGAACAGAGCAAGCAGGCCAGGCACAGTGGCCCACGTCTGTAATCCCAGCACTTTAGGAGGCCAAGGCAGGAGGATCACTTGAGACCAGAAGTTTGAGACCAGTCTGGAGAACATAGTGAGACCCTGTCTCTACAGAAAGTTTAAAAAGTAGCTGAGCATGGTGGTACATGCTTGTAATCCCAGTTACTCAGGAGGCTGAGGCAGGAGGATCACTTGAGACAGTGAGCCATGTTCATACCACTGCACTCCAGCCTGAGCAACAGGAGACCTGTCTCAAAAAAAGACAAAGAACAAGTATTTTAAGGCTCTTTTACCACCTCTGAGTTCCTGAATGGATTGGTTTGGTTTGTTTGTTTTGTTTTGCTTTGTTTTTGAGACGGAGTCTCACTCTCACCCAGGCTGGAGTGCAGTGGCGCGATCTCTGCTCACTGCAACCTCTGCCTCCCGGGTTCAAGCGATTCTCCTGCCTCAGCCTCCAGAGTAGCTGGGACTACAGGTGCACGCCGCCACGCCTTGCTGATGTTTTGTATTTTAGTAGAGACAGGGTTTCCCATGTTGCCCAGGCTGCTCCCGAACTCCTGAGCTCAGGCAGTCCACCTGCCTCGGCCTCCCAAAGTGCTGGGATTACAGGTGTGAGCCACCACACCCGGCCATGGATTGTTTTCATATTAACTGTTATCACTGGACAAAGACTTGAGGTGACAATAGTTACTGGGTAATCAGGGTCAACTTTGGCATGACCAAACAATATCCTGAACAGTATTGATTCAGAGTAATCCATGTTCTGAGCTTTGTTGTTTTCTGATGCATGGGGACGGATCAGTAATGTGCAGGTTGTTAGAACACCAGTGACTTCTCTGTGGCTGAGTGCATCGACAAGTGTGTGGTGGGAGGAGACGGCGGCTCCTTCCGGAGCAGGAGCTGTCATGTGGGGAGCTGGCCCAGGCTCACGAGAGCGACTTGCGCTGGCTGAGGGAACGGCAGGTCCAGGCGGGCAGCGCTGTCCGGCGCCTACCTTTCTGCGGTGCCGGAATCTGCTCGTCTGCAACCGTCCGCTTTGGTAGCTGCCAGCCACATGGGGCTGTTGCTAATGTGGCAGGTGTAGCTGAAGAGCTGAACGTTTTGACTTATTTTAATTAATTAAGTGGTTATGTGTTGCCAGTAGCTCCCATCTGGGCTGTGACCCCATGGTCTGCGGATCTCACTCTGGCACCAGACTCCGAGTGGAGCTGCATGCGGCCACCGGACAGTGTGGAGTGCCTCTTCGGGTTGTGTAGAAGTAGGAAATGTGTCACCAACATAGGAGCTGTTGCTGCTGCGTTCTCTAGCACACCTGCCTTGTTGGTACTGCTGGGCGTGGAATGCCTCTCGGGCTCTGACAGTGTCATTGACACTGTTGCTGATCTCCTTGGATTTACCTGGTCCATTTGGATCAAGTTCTTTCACCTATTCACATGAGCAGATATCACCTTAAAACCTTAAAGGTTGGCTTAACACTTCTTGCCCTTTTTTTTTCTTTCTTTTAGTCTCTGCGATATGATACCAGCTGTTTTGTGGAGTATTTTGCCTTGGATCTCCTGATGGAGAATGGGGAGTGCCGTGGTGTCTTCGCACTGTGCATACAGGACGGGTCCATCCATCGCATAAGAGCAAAGAATACTATTGTTGCCACAGGGTAGGAATCTAATTTCTACTTTATTTCCTTTGTAAAAATGAATAAATTTCATTTAGAGTCTCTTTATTTTAAGGAAAATAGAGGCATTGTAGAATAGCAGTTCAGACACAGGCCTTGATATAACCACGTGAGGGTGATGGCCTTTCCCAGCCATGGTTCCTCACCTGTAAAGGGTGAGGACAGCAGCACCTGCCTCGGGGTGAGAAAGCATGGCCCTCATTAGTCGGTAGTGGCTGCCGTCAGGTTCACAGCGTACCTCTCCCGATTTTAGATGAGGAAACTGTGGCCCGAAGAGTCACATGGGGTTTTCTGGCAAAATCCCTCTTGTTTTAGTGGGTTCTATGTTTATACTGATTCCTGGGATAGATAAGTCTGTCTTCTCCACATAATGAAAATAAAAAACTTTAATTTTATACAGTGGCAGTTACTTTAGCCACTTTAAAAGTTAAGAAGTGTCAGTACAGCCAAGAAAAAAAATCAGCAAAACTACAGGGTGGGAAAAAATATTTTCCAAACCATATATCTAATGATATCTTAGTATCTAAAATAGCAAAAAAAAATAAAAAATAAAAAAAAGCCCTACTAAAACCAACCTACTAAACCCTACTAAAAAACAACCCTACTAAAAATGGGCAAAGGACTTGAATAGATATTTTTCCAGAGAAGACATACAAATGGCCAGTTGATGTATGAAAAAATGCTCAACATCACCAAGCACCAGAGAAATGCAAATTAAAACCCCAATGAGTATCATCTCATCTCGCTCCAGTTAGAATGGCTGTTACCAAGAGGACAAAAGATAGTGAGTGTTGATGAGGATGTGGAGAAAAGGGAACCCTGTGTGCTGTTGGTGGGAATGTAAATTAGTACAACTATTGTGGAAAACTCTGGAGGTTCCTCAAAAGTCACAGGACTACCATGTGCTCCAGCAACCTCATTTCTGGGTGTATATCCAAAGGGCATGAAATCAGAAGCTCAAAGAGACACCTGGACCCCCATGTTCATTGCAGCGTTATTCACAATACCCGAGATATGGAAACAACCTAAAAATTTTTGGTGTTTAATGACAATGTGGTGTGTGTACACAACTGAATATTATTCAGCTATGAAAACGAAGGAAATCCTGTCATGTGTGACAACGTGGATGAACCCAAAGTCATTATGTTAAGTGAAACGACCCAGGCACAGAAAGACAGATACTGCATGTCACTCATATGTGGATCTAAAACTGTCACAACTCACAGAAACAGAATAGGACAGTGGTTGCCAGGGGCTGGGGGAATGCAGACTGTGGCGATGCTGATTAAAGGTGTAACTTCCCGTCACAAGGTGAAGTTCTGAAGGTCTGATAAACAGCATGGTGGCTAGAGTTAATGTTATAGAGCATGGTGGCCAGAGTTAACATTATACAGCATGGTGGCTACAGTTAAAATCATACAGTACGGTGGCTATCATTAATATAACTTGAAATTTGCGAAGAGAGTAGACCTTAGGTGTCTGTATCTCCAAAAAAAAGGATAATTGTATGAGGTGATAGATGTGTATTAAGTTGATTGTGTCATCAGTTCACAAAATAAATCATCACGCTGTACACCTTAAATATATACAGTATTGTTTTTTGTTTAATTCATCAATCATACCTCAGTAAATCTGGGGGAAAAAAACAAAATCCATAAAAATTTTAAAATTTTCATTATAAAAGTAGTATATGCTTACTGGGGAAACCTTTTGAACAGCACAAATCTAAAATACAAATAGGGCCAGACGCATAGTGGCTCATGCCTGTAATCCCAGCACTTTGGGAGGCCGAAGTGGGTGGATCACCTGAGGTCAGGAGTTCAAGACCAGCGTGGCCAACGTGGCGAAACCCAGTCTCTACTAAAAATACAAAAATCAATTGGATGTGGTGGTGCACACCTGTATTCCCAGGTACTTGGGAGGCTGAGGCAGAAGAATCACTTGAACTTGGGAGCCAGAGGTTGCCGTGAGCCGAGATTGTGCCACCGTACTCCAGCCTGGGCGACAAGAGTTAGACCCTATCTCAAAATAAATAAATAAATAAATAAAATATAAATGGAAGTCTCTTCTCTGATCCCAGGCTTCTATCCTACCTGCGCAGGGTAGCAGCACCACTGGCGTGGCCCCCAGTGATGTGTGTGGGGTGTGCGTGAGTAGGGGGTTGTGTGCACACAGCACTGAGAAGATGGTGCCCGGGGGCTGCCCTGTCCGTTCTGTGATCTCATTAGACAGGAGGTCCGGACGTGGGCCACTGTGTGCAGTCACTGCTCTCTGTTGTTTCCATAGGCTACGGGCGCACCTACTTGAGCTGCACGTCTGCCCACACCAGCACCAGCGACGGCACGGCCATGATCACCAGGGCAGGCCTTCCTTGCCAGGACCTCGAGTTTGTTCAGTTCCACCCCACAGGTAGGGCAGGACGCCTTGCCCGGAAGGCGTTCGGCTCGTGTGTCTTGTAAGCGTGTGGTGCCTACTCATTGCTCTTCCATAGTTTTATGTAATAACATGGTTTTGAAGATCAGCTTCCATAGCTCTCAGGTCCTAACTTCAATGTCATTTCCTTAAGGAGACTTTTCCCACACTCCCCTTCCCCTAAGGCAGTTTGGGCCACCATCTTATGCATTTCTCAAGAGCCCTAAACCCTGCCTTGGTGATACTTATGCCAGCAGTAAAGCAGGGATTGAGGCCGGGCATGGTGGCTCACACCTGTAATCCCAGCACTTTGGGAGGCCAAGGCAGGTGGATCACCTGAGGTCAGGAGTTCAAGACCAGCCTGCACAACATGGTGAAACCTCATCTCTACTAAACATAAAAAAATCAGCTGGGCATGGTGGCATGCACCTGTGATCCCAGCTACTTGGGAGGCTGAGGCGGGAGGAATGCTTGAACCTGGGAGGCAGAGGTTGCAGTGAGCCGAGATCGCACCACTGCGCTCCAGCCTGGGCAACAGAGTAAGACTTCGTCTCAAAAAAAAAAAAAAAAAAAGTAAAGCAGGAATTGTTCAGTGTCCCTCTTTGCAGTGAGGTTGTCAGCAACTCGGGCAGGCAGGTCTTCTCATTAACTGGGGTGCTCCACGCCCAGCACATGGTAGGGTCTCCATCGGGGTTTACTGAGTGAGCATTCTGAGAGCTGGGTGAATGCCGTGGAACCAAGAAGCAGCACAGGCAGATTTCAGCTTTGTAGGACAACACAGAGCTTCCGTGACAATGGGATGTAAAGTTAAGACACAGCCATGAGAGAACCCCATGTGACGTTGGGCGCTGGGCTCAGCCCACGTGACCACTGAGGGAGCTTGTCGTGGGGAAGATGAGCTCGTCTTGGGGACGTCTGACGGTTGAGGTTACGAATGTGCAATTTGGAGACATTAACTCAGAAATGACAGTTGAAGTCTTGAGTTTGGAGGAGGTTCTTCAAAATGAGTCAGAGACAGACACACACACGTCTGCCTCTTGTTTGAGGTGACTCGTCCTGGACTTTTCTGGGTTGCTTTTCTGACCTGTGGACGATGGAGACCCCTGAAGTGGTGCCAAAGAACCAGACCTGTGTCTTCTCTTTCTCTGTCAGTGTCAGCTTTCTGATCCCTGGAAGGGATGAAAATAAGAAATGGATTTGTTGTAGGTTTTTTTTTTAATTTGTTTAGAGATGGGGTCTTGCTCTGTTGCCCAGGCTGGAGTGCAGTGGAGCAATCTTGACTCACTGCAGCCTTTGTCTCCCAGGCTCAAACGATCCTTGCACCTCAGCCTCCCAAATAGCTGGGACTACAGGCATGTGTTACCATGCCCAGCTAATTTTTGAGGGTTTTTTTGTTTTTGGTAGAGACAGGGTGTCACCATTTTAAGCCCAGGCTGGTCTCAAACGCCAGGGCTTAGGCGATCCTCCTGCCTCGGCCCCTCAGGGTGCTGGCATTATAGCCATGAGCCACTGCACCCGGCCTGTTGTATTTTTTATTACTGTTTTTAATCAGCAAAATGTCAGTGAGCCCCTGAATTCCCTCTGTAATTTGCTTAGAGCTCCACTTCTCATGCTTTGTCTTCAATATGTGAGAAGTAACCACAGAAAAAAGAGCATGGAAACTTAGAAAATCAAAAGGCAGGTGAGATGCAAGAATCACATTCTTGTCTTGAAAGCAAGATTGCCCTTTTTGTATACTAATAAAAATTGTAGCTTTTGAAATACATTTAGTTTAGGGTTTTTGATCTCCTTTGTTAAAATTCGAGAGCTTGGCACGCCCTGTTTCTCATCGCACTGAGGAGTCACAGAGCCGCTGTTTGGGGCACAGACCGCCGGACTGCCCAGGTTTGGGTTTGAGCTCTGTCCTCAGCTGCATGACTGGATGTTACCAAGCGTTAATTTGCTTGTCACTGAGAAAGGGGGTCATACTACCCAGAGTTGTTGTAAGACTTAAATGAGTTTAATATGTGGAAAGCAGCTAGAACTGCCCATAGCAAGTGCAGTGTAAAGATGAACTAAAATAATCATTATTACTGTTCTTGCCACTGTTTGGGTAACTTAGATATGAATTCTCCAAGCTAGTATTCTTAACTAGTCACCACAGTATCATAGTGCAAAAGAATGTTCAAAAATTAAAACAAAATTTGAGGCATCCAACGTACACCGGGCTGTAATCAGAGTATTGGCCAGAGGTCTGTGGGCCGGCCTTTCTCCTCTCTGGGGACGCCACTCTGCCCCAGCCTCTGCTGCAGCTGTCAGCCTTGTCAGTGCTTTTTGTTATCCAGACTTTCTACTGTATCTTAACTGTTCTTTCTGTTCAGTTTTGCATATAATGCCTTCTGCATATCTTTTTTGTCTCTCCCCCAAAAAATATCTTGTAAAAAAAAGTAATGCATTTGAAATAGAGACCTAGCAATTGTTAGGTTATAAATGTGTGGTTTTTTGCAGGCACATATGGTGCTGGTTGTCTCATTACGGAAGGATGTCGTGGAGAGGGAGGCATTCTCATTAACAGTCAAGGCGAAAGGTTTATGGAGCGATACGCCCCCATCGCGAAGGACCTGGCGTCTAGAGATGTGGTGTCTCGGTGGATGACTCTGGAGATCCGCGAAGGAAGGTGCGTGTGGTTTACCACCAGCACTGTCTGAGCGGGCACACGGGCCGGGGTTGCTTCTGTGAGTTTCAGCACCGCTCGCCCTCACCTTCGTGTGCAGGCACATGTGCACAGCCACCTCTCTCAGCTGCCGGCAGGCGTCTGTTAGTCTGCGATATTTTCCTAAAGACCTACATTTTGAAAATTTTAGCCAGTTTCTTTCTCAAATCTGTGGAACAGAGTTTCTCTTAGTGTGTGTGAGTATGTGACGGAGTATGGGAGAGAGAGACACGCACCCAACCTGAAGTCGGCGTGTGAGCCTTGGGTGTGGTGTCTGATACCCACAGATGTTTTTCGGCAGCTTTCAAAGTGTGTGGGTCATTTGCCTTTCAGAAGAACAGTTTGCAGCTCTTTCATTGCCTGACCCTGTTCTTTAATGTGATAACACTTGCTAAATATCTGCTGGTATCTGGTGTGGCCTTTAGAGGTTTTACATTTTTATATTAAAAAAAAAAGAAGTCGGATGGTTTCTTGTAATATGGTGGCCCTCCGTATCCATCGGTTCCACATGTGTGGTTTCAACCAACTATGTACTGAAAATAAAATTGCATCCTTACAAACACGCAGACTTTTTTTTTTCCTTGTCATTGTTCGCTAAGCAACACAGTGTAGCAGCTATTTACCTAGCATTTACATTGTATTAGGTACTATGAGTAATCCTGGAGTTGCTGTACAACTTAAATGTAAAACTTGAAATGAGGATGATTTAAAATATGGAGGAGGATGTGCATAGGTTATATGCAAATACTCTGCCATTTTATATTAGGGACTTGAGCATCCACGGATTTTGGTGTCCGTGGGGGTCCTGGACCCAACCTGCCACGGATACGCAGGGACGACTATTTGGCATAGAGGCCTAATGCTTTTACCAAGGACAGCCGCTGCAGGCTGTGATCCCTGAGACGAGTGTGAGTTCAGTAAGGGCAGAGTTTTTGTTCTGGTTCTCAGCTGTGTCCCAGCACCTGGGATTGTCCCTGGCATACAGTAGATGCTTAGAAAAGATTTGATGAGAGGGTGGCCGTACATGAGGGGAAATTTTCCTCAGTATCAAAACATGTTGAAACTCACACGCTTCCAAGATGACGTATTCTCAGGTCTGCTGCCGTTGCCATTCTCTGCCTTATGTGATGGTGTTCTGTCTTACCAGAGGCTGTGGCCCTGAGAAAGATCACGTCTACCTGCAGCTGCACCACCTACCTCCAGAGCAGCTGGCCATGCCCTTGCCCGGCATTTCAGAGACAGCCATGATCTTCGCTGGTGTGGACGTCACGAAGGAGCCGATCCCTGTCCTCCCCACCGTGCATTATAACATGGACGGCATTCCCACCAGCTACGAGGGGCAGGTGATGGTGCTGGCTTCTCTCCCACAGCTGGAAAGAAGGCTGGGACAATGGGGCCCATCTCGCAGTTGTCTCTTTAGATCTTAGAGGAAGAGACAGATGTTTCCTTCCAGAAAGTACTGTATTGTTTGCTAAATTGCACTTGAAATTTCTATCACTGGAGGATGGAAGGAGGCTTAATAATTTATTCCTCCTTAGTAAACTGTCATAGATACATCATTTGCAGCTTTTCCCATTTTATAATTACTTTCCTATATGATCTTGTGTTATTTCTAATGAGCTTATACATCAAGGGATCTTTATAATTCCTATTTCTAATGATCTTGTACATCGAAGGATCTTTATAATTCATACCTGTGAGTGGTTTGCGGTTCACACAGAGCTTGTCAGTCACTTAGCCTCCTTGTTGGGCGAGGTGGGTGGAAGCTGTTACTTTCCCCGCATAGATGAAGAGGTGAACAGGGGGTAGAAGAGTCTGGAACATCAGTCTCCCCTGCTGATGTTCCTCCACCTGCCGTGCTCCTGGGTCTGAGCTGGAGCACAGGTGGTGAGGGCCTCGGGAACATGGGACACGGGGGACAGTCGCAGATGCTGACATTGGAGGCCCTCTGACCTGCTTGTAACAGCAGGTGCTCAGGGGCAGAGGGGAAACTGGGGTATACATTCGGAAGTTTCCTTCTGAAGAAGAGTAGCTATGGTCCTTACTTCCTTCTTAGATATGGTCTTTACTTCCCTCTCTTTGTTTCTTGGAGATGGAGACTCGCTCTGTCGCTTAGGCTGGAGTGCAATGGCGCGATCTCGGCTCACTGCAACCTCCGCCTCCCAGGTTCAAGCGATTCTTCTGCCTCAGCCTCCCGAGTAGCTGGGATTACAGGCACCTGCCATCATGCCTGGCTAATTTTTATATTTTTAGTTGAGACGGGGTTTCACCATGTTAGCCAGACAGGTCTCGAACCCCTGAACTCAGGTGATCCACCCGCCTCAGCCTCCCAAAGTGCTGGGATTACAAGCGTGAGCCACTGCATGCCCGACCTACTTCCCTCTCTTTCTCTGACCTGCAGCACAGACACCCTGTTGAGGGAGGTGGGCTTGTGGAGGAATGGGCATCTTGACATTTCACCTGAAATCTTCCTTTCCACAGGTCCTGAGGCACGGGAATGGCCAGGATCAGATTGTGCCCAGCCTGTACGCCTGTGGGGAGGCCGCCTGTGCCTCTGCACATGGTGTCAACCGCCTCGGGGCAAACTCGCTGTTGGACCTGGTTGTCTGGTCAGGCATGTGCCCTGAGCATCGCAGAGTCGTGCAGGCCTGGTAAGTGTTTTCTTCAGGACCCAGACTATTTGAGAAGGCGCAGGAGGTTAGTCTTTTTTCTTTTTTTTTGAGACAGGGTCAGCCCAGGCTGGAGTGCAGTGGCACAGTCATAGCAGCCTCAACCTCCCGAGCTCAAGCAGTCCTCAACACCTCAACCTTCAGAGTCCCAAGTAGCTGGGACTACAGATGTGCACCACCACACCTGGCTAATTTAAAAAAATTTTTTTTGGTAGAGACAGGGTCTCACAATATTGCCCAGGCTGGTCTTGAACTCCTAGACTCAAACAGTCTTCTGCCTCAGCTTTCCAAAGTATTGGGATTACAGGCATGAGCCACTGCACCCAGCCAGGTTACAAAGCCTTGATTTCTTACTGGAAATTTGCGTAGTGAGCATATAGAGGTAGTCTGGGTTTTTTCCCCTAGAAGTGATTAAACTGAGAAATCCAGAGATTATATGGTGGTAATGTTGAGACTAGATAGAGGCTGGTTGGGGATCTTAACAGTTAAGGTGACATTTTTGGGGTTACATTTTTTTTTTTTAAATTATTTTGCAGTCATTATTTTCTGTTTAGAAAAAGCACTATTAGGAAGCTGTTATTTTTAGGGGAAGTTCATTACGTATTACTTGCCTGATAAAAATCACTTATTTGCAATGAAATATTTAAAATAGTTGGCATGAATGAATATGTAACTTCTTGGTACTTAGAAAAATAATTTAGGCCATTCTAAAAGTACAACTAACCTCTATTAGAGGAGAAGGGCTGACTTAGAGTGAACAGGATTCCCACCCTCTACGGACAGATTCGATTTCACTTGCTGGTTTTCTTTTCAGGATAGCGTCAAATAATGTGCAGGAAAAGGAATACCGTGTGTGGGAGTGTGAGTCTTATGTGCACGAAGAACAGGACAGTTAGCATCGTTCCCACCTCCAGAGATCCTCACGGTGGTCATGCAGCCTCGTGTGCTCAGAACAGTGTGAGGTGGATGAGGCACTGGTGGATGTTTGCGTGGCAAGGATGGTGGGACCCCAGGCCCACGTTCTTCCCGTTAGCTTTCTCTGGTGTTAACTGTTTAGCATCATTTCTGCTGTTTTTATAGAACAGGCGCTTTTTGCTTTTTGTATGGACTCAAGTGAAATAAAAACTAGCACCGCCGTACCTTATAAACATGACCCTTTTCTATCTGTAGTTAGAAAGGTACAGGCAGTATTAAAAGGGTAGCTACTTCAGACACTGTGTCTCTGTGGATCTGACGACAGCTCAGGAGGCCAGCACATGCAGAGCCGGCGTCTCATCCCCAGCCGTTGCTGATCATCGGCGAAGGCGGAGTTCAGGTGCCTCGCTCCTGACGCCACAGGTTGTGCTTGTCTCACTCCATAGCCCTGCACTTTGTCGCAGTGAGGTCTGATACCACTTCTCTCAGAGCAGTGTAGAAATTTTGAGCTTCTCTTTCTTTGAAAATGCAGAAAAGAACATTTTGTGAGAATACCCTATACTTGACATCTGAGAAACCGCTCACACATGCAGCATCTCACGCAGAATGCTGTGGAGTCGGACTCAAAAGGCTGCACGCCTGTGGTCCTGTTGATAGGACATTCTGGACAAGGCACATCTAGGGAAGAAAAGGGATTGGTGGTTGCCAGAGGCTGTTTCCTGATTGTGCTGAGGCTTACAGACACAGCTCTGTGTGTGTCAAAGTTTGAAAAACCTACATTAAAAATGATGAGTTTATTTTACTGTATCTTTACGCTTTAATTTTTAAAAATGAAAAGGAAAGAAAAAATGCTTGTAGCATCCCTACTTCTCCCCCAACCCCCGACCCCCCCAAAAATATATATATGTGTATTTTTAGACATAGTCTCCCTCTGTCACCCAGGCTTGAGTGCAGTGGTACGATCAGGTGCACGCCACCACATCTGGCTAATTTTTAAAAATGTATTCTAGGGACAGGGTCTCCCTGTGTTGCCCAGGGTGGTCTTGAACTCCTGACCTCAAGTGATCCTCCTGTCTCAGCCTCCCAAAGTGGTTACATGCATCTATCCATGTGTTAAAATCGGTAGAACTGAGGCCGGGTGCAGTGGCTCACACCTATAATCCCACCACTTTGGGAGGCCAAGGCAGGCCGATTGCTTGAGCTCAGGAGTTCGAGACCAGCTTGGGCAAGGTGGTGAAACCCCGTCTCTACCAGAAATACAAAAATTAGCTGGGCATGGTGGCTCACACTTGGGTAGTCCCAGCTACTTGGGAGGCTGAGGTGGGAGGATTGTTGGAGCCTAGAAGGCGGAGGTTGCTGTGAGCCGAGATCACACCACTGCACTCCAGCCTGGGCAACAGAGGGAGGAGACACTGTCTCAAAAAAAAAAAAGAAAAAAGAAACTGTAGAACTGTCCACCGAAAGAAAAAAGTCAATTTTAATGGATGATCAATTTTTAAAGCGTTATAAACAAAAGGAAAAGAGACACCAGCAAGCCTAGAAGCATTTGAGCAGACCGTCAAGAGACCCACAGCCTGGTCCCGAGGAGAGGCGGTAGGCGGGACAGGGCCTGTTTGACTCCTGCATTTCATACCTCCTATCTCCTGCATGTGTTACCTATTGAAGAAAAAATACATATAATTTTATAAAAAAAAAAAACCTTTAAAACTTTTTTCAAGACATCTTGGAAACACAAGAGTTGCAAATCTTGGCCGTGCGCAGCAGCTCACACATGTGATCCCAGCACTTTGGGAGGCTGAGGCAGGTGGCTCACCTGAGGTCAGGAGTTCGAGACCAGCCTGGCCAACATGGTGAAACCCCATCTCTACTGAAAATACAAAAATTAGCCAGGTATGGTTGCAAACTCCTGTAGTCCCATCTACTCCAGAGTCTGAGGCAGGAGGATTGCTTGAACCAGGAGGTGGAGGTTGCAGTGAGCCGAGATGGTGCCACTGCACTCCAGCCTGGGCTACAGAGCAAAATTCCATCTCAAAAAAAAAAAAAAAAAATTGCAAATCTTGAAGTATAGGTGAGAGCACACAACAGTCCAAATCAGCAGGTGACTTGCAAGCACACAGCAGCCACCTTCCTCCCCCTAATGTGAAGGACAGTGGGGCGGCCGGCCCCTTGGGACCACCATCTGGAAGGTGTCATTTTTTCCCGTTAGTGGAGTGACATTTATATACACTTAATGTATATAAATCTGTATACATTTAATTTTTTTTTTTTGTAAGACAGGGTCTCGCTCTGTTGCCCAGGCTGGAGTGCAGTGGCGCGATCTCGGCTCACTGCAACCTCCACCTTTCGGGTTAAAGCAGTTCTCATGCCAGATAATTTTTGTGTTTTTAGTAGAAATGAGGTTTTGCCACGTTGGCCAGGCTGCTCTTGAACTCCTGACCTCAAGTGCTTCACCTACCTCAGCCTCCTAAAGTGCTGGGATTACAGGCGTGAGCCACTGCACCTGGCCTACATTTTAATTTTTTAATTTTAGAGATGATTTCTAGTTTATTCACTCTAAGATCACTTAATGGATATCTACTGTGTGCCAACAGTTTTGCCTTTTATGTCTGTTCTTTAAAATTGGCCCCAACTCAACAGATGGCCTCAGATGTAGGGTGGGTTGGCAGTGTGTTAGCTCAGGAGACTTACACCGTTTCCAGGCTCCTTGAGCGGCTATGCTACATTTTTGTGTGTAGTACTAAATCCATTTGTTTTTTTAAAACGGTTTTCAAAAGTTAAATTCTAGCTCTTTTTGTTGTTGTTTTAGGAGATAAAGTCCCTCCAATTAAACCAAATGCTGGGGAAGAATCTGTCACGAATCTTGACAAATTGAGATTTGCTGATGGAAGAAGCATAAGAACATCGGAACTGCGACTCAGCATGCAGAAGGTAAGAGCCTGGACTCGCTCTGGAGTGAGCAGGCTGGCTGCATACCTGGCCCTGCACTGGTTTTGTTTTTTTAAAAACAGATCTAGGGGGATGCAGGTGCAGCTTTGTGTGGATGTACTGGGAGGTGGTGGAGTCTGGGCTTTTCATGTACCTGTCACCCAAGTCGTGTGTGTTGTACTCAGCAGGTAATTGCTCATCCCCACCCCTCCCGCTTTTTGGAGCCCACAGTCTGTTAGTCCACTCCGTGTGTCCATGTGTACTCACCGTTCAGCTCCCACTTCCAAGGGAGAATGTGTGACACTTGACCTTCTGACTCACTTAGGATAGTGACCTCCCATTCCATCCGTCTGGCTGCAGAAGACATGATTGCATTCTTTTTTTATGGCCAAGTAGTATTTCATGGTATATATGTACCACATTTTCTTTATCCGGTCGTCCGTTGATGGGCACTTAGGTTGATTCCATGACTTTGCTATTGTGACTAGTGCTGCAATAAACATACGAGGCTGCACCAGTATGTGGAGGTAAACAGCAGTAGGACATACTCCTCACTGTATCAAGAATATGAAAGAGACCAGAAGTGCACTTCTTCTCCACATAGAAGGTCAGCAGGCCAGGGCAGAATTAGTGACTGCTTAGCATCCAGGACAGCCTTCTGTGGTTCACTCGTGTGTGCTTGGGCATGACCTCCGTGCCCTGACCGTCGCTGGCTGTCATGGATGAGTCACAGTGTGGAGGAGAGGGAGCCGCAGGACTGCCGGAGAAGCTCCGTCCCCAGCAGGGCAGCTTTCTCTTAGAGGTTTCCTGGAGTTCAACACAACACTGGTGCTTACATCTCAGGCCCAGATATTGATCATGTCATCATGCCTGGCTTCCAGCAGCTCGGAAACGTCTTTAAGCTAGACCTGTTGCTGCCCCTAAATATACTCAGCAGAGAGGGAGAGTGGGCGGCAGGTGGACAGTGATCTGTGCGGCCTGTGCTGCTGGGAGTCGGTCCAGTAGGACCGTCTGTGATGATGGAAATGTTGAGTGTTTGCCGTCCAGTATGGCAGCCATTAGCCATGGGGCCGTGGAGAACCTGATATATAGTCAGTCTAAGAAACTCAATTCCTCTAATAACAAGGATTCTTGTCCATGAATGAGATCTCTTGTCTGCTATTTGCAAGAATTTCTGCGTATTTTCTAGAAAGAAGTCCACTGCTTTAGTCCTATTCTGAAAGGCATTTGGTGTTAGACACAAGAGAACAGGTTCCCTGCTGACAATTTTCAGAGGCCCGTGCCCTTCGGTCTTCAGGTGAGGCTGGGCTTGAGGGAGGTTTTGTGGAACGGTGAGAAGAACAGCGTGACTAAGGCACAGAAGGCTGAGTGATGCCCTGCAGTGCTTTTGTAGGGTTGGAGGCCAGCTGGGAAAGAAGGAACCCTTGCGTTAGAGAATGGGAACATGCCTTAGGATATAGAAATGGCAAATCTGAGATAGTTTGAAGTGAGAATACTAGAAGTGTTCCCACCAAACAAGGTGTGTCTTGGTGCCTGCTGTATCCCAGGCTCCGTGAGGTGCCGGAGTCAGCACTGAACAAACAGAGCTTCCTATGCTTGCGGAAATGCATTTCGTTGGGGGAAGGGATTTTTCTGCTGACTCTGGCTATTAATAGTAACAATCAAAAAAAGAAATGAGGTAAATTGATAGAAACAGGCCCCCAAATGTGGCCATAAACTGGCCCCAAAACTGGCCATAAACAAAATCTCTGCAGCATGTGACGTGCTCGTGATGGCCAGGACGACCACGCAGGAAGGTTATGGGTTTACCGTAATGAGGGCAAGGAACACCTGGCCCACCCAGAGTGGAAAACCTCTTAAGACCTTCTTAAACCACAAACAATAGCATGAGCGCTCTGTGCCTTAAGGACATGCTCCTGCTGCAGATAACTAGCCAGACCCATCCCTTTATTTCCTGTAAGGAATACTTTCAGTAAGTCTTATCACTGGCTTGCTGTCAATAAATACGTGGGTAAATCTCTGTTTGAGGCTTTTGGCTCTGAAGGCTGTGAGACCCCTGATTTCCCACTCCACACTCTATATTTCTGTGTGTGTGTCTTTACTTCCTCTAGTGCCACTGGGTTAGGGTTTCCATGACCCAGCTGGTCTTGGCAGTAAATATTGAAAAGGAATAGATACAGTTGCCATTATTTACAGATATAATTTCCAAAAAATTTCCAGAGAATAAACGGAAAAACTAACAGAAACAAAACAAGAATGTAGTAAGGTATGTGTATAAGAGATTTGTATGTAAAAATCAGTAGCTTTGCAATGTGCCAGCAGTAATCTGCTCAGACATCAGTAAATATCTCATTCGCATTTCAAACAAAAAATTTAAAATGCCTTGAAATAATGTAACCAGAAATACGAAAAGATGATATGAAAACGTCGCTGCTAAAGGACATGAAAGAATGTAATACTAGATTCTGAGATGCAATTTTTTTCATTTGTTCTTCCTGAAAAACCATTAGGTTGATGTGCATTACAGTGTTACGATTATGTATGAGTCTAAGGAAAATCAGATGAAATGTCCAAATTGAACCACGAAGGTGCATTGGTAGAGGAAGAGACAATTAGGGTCAGTGGAGCAAAGCACAGTTAGAGGGAGAAGCAAGGAGGAGGAGGGATCACGGAGGTGGTGCCTGTGTGTCCCACAGGAAGCAAAAGCTGATGCCCAGTTCCCAGCATACCTAAGTAAACTTCAGGTCCACTCCTAGCACGTTTCTCGTGATAGTAAAACTATGAAGGAACTCAGTGTACAAGGAGCTTCTACAAAATAGGCAGAAGACAGTAGCCAGATGGGCCAAGGGCCCCAGCCACCCACGCCCCTCCCTCTCCTTGAAGACCTTCGGTTCCAACCCCACCATCAGCAGGGCTCTGCTCAGTTCCTCCTTGTGTGTATCACCACAGGGCTGCTGGCTCGTGTCACGTTCACCACCAGACCCCACATCAGGAGTCCCGCCAGGGGTGTGGGGAGGCAGTGCTGCCTGGTTGGCCGTGGAGCCGTATGGAACGTGGTGCCTCACAGGCAGTCTGCTTGGCGTCCTGGACCCTGGCTGTATCCCGCTGGAAAGGATGTGTGTGGGTCTAAGATATGTATATAATAGAAACATTTATTCAGAAGCTTTAGTCAAGACTTCATTTTTAAGTTCAGAGTAATAAACTCATAGTCTAAATTTCCTAATTTTTCTGTTTAATTTACATAAATAAAATGAAATGCAAAACAACAGGTCTAAAAGTTAAGCAGTTCTTGGTATGGCTGCTTCTATGAATTAAAAGTTTACAAATAATATTTTGTGCCACAGTCAACGCAAAATCATGCTGCCGTGTTCCGTGTGGGAAGCTTGTTGCAAGAAGGTTGTGGGAAAATCAGCAAGCTCTATGGAGACCTGAAGCATCTGAAGACGTTTGACCGGGGTGAGCAGACAGTGGGCTCTGTGCACACTGTTGGGCCCTGCCTTCTGCAGGGTGGGCTGGTGTCTGTCCCGTCAGTGCTGACTTAGTTCCATGCTTGCTGTCTGGATGGGTGCTGGCCCCCAGCTGTAAAGCCACAACCAGTGACTCCATGGACTAGCAGGCCCAGGCTGACAGCTCGGAGGGCCCGTGTGACTGGGTCCCACCTGCCCCTGATGGAACTTTTTGTGTCCCCAGGAATGGTCTGGAACACGGACCTGGTGGAGACCCTGGAGCTGCAGAACCTGATGCTATGTGCGCTGCAGACCGTCAATGGAGCAGAGGCGGGGAAGGAGTCACGGGGCGCGCACGCCGGGGAAGACTACAAGGTGCGCCTTCTCGCCACGCCCACCTGCACCTGCCTTTTCCTCCCGCCTGGTGGGACTCAGCCCCACCCCTGCATTTTCTCTGCATTTTATGTCGTTTCCCCAAAAGTATATCCAAAAAATGCCTTTTTCCCTCTGGTAACTTTGATCCCTGGGTTCTCGCCATTTTCTGGATCACTGTGACCTGTTCCTTGCTTTGGGTCGGCATCCACTGATGCCAGCAGTGGCATCTCCAAGCCAATGTGCTTTGCTGTTAGAAGGCCAAGGTTAGAAGTGCAGCCAGCGTGGCATGACCAGGAAATAAATGCCAGTTTATTAAATAACGAGTAAGCCACCGTTTCAAGCCTGCCCTATGGAGGAAATGCCAGTTTATTAAATAACGAGTAAGCCACCGTTTCAAGCCTGCCCTGTGGAGGAAATGCCAGTTTATTAAATAACGAGTAAGCCACCGTTTCAAGCCTGCCCTGTGGAGGAAATGCCAGTTTATTAAATAACGAGTAAGCCACCGTTTCAAGCCTGCCCTGTGGAGGAAATGCCAGTTTATTAAATAACAAGTAAGTCACCGTTTCAGACCTGCCTTGTGGAGGAAATGCCAGTTTACTAAATAACGAGTAAGCCACTGTTTCCAACCTGTCCTGTGGTTTGGAAAAGGTATTATAGAGCCTGTCCTGTGGTTTGATTACGGAGACTGCCCTGTGGTCACTTGTTCTTCAGATGAACTGATTTTTGTGCAGAGCACACGTGTTGGATTCTGCCTGGTAAGAGTTTTTCACATATGATAGCAAAAAACGACGGAAAGGGAAGCTTGGGGTGCAAATGCAAGTTCAGGATAAACCACATCGGCAAAAGGACAAAGGCTCCACAAGGCAGGCGCACAGGCTGGTTCAGGGCCATGTGTGGGCGGCTGGTGGCAGCCTTTCCAGTCAGCTGAACACAGTGAATGGGAAAATCATTTTTATTCACCATGAAATTTTACTGATTTACCCTCCACTAGAATATGCTGATGGCTGTGATCACTGCTCAGAATTTGCTCGTCTCCTCATACATATTAAGAGTCTTTCCTGCAAAGTATATGAATCCGTGTTTGCCAGAATACAGAATAATAATAAATTTATTATTTTTAATTTTTTGAGATGGAGTCTCATTGTCCCCCAGGCTGGAGTGCAGCGGCGCGATCTCAGCTCACTGCAACCTCTGCCTCCCAGGTTCAAGTGATTCTCCTGCCTCAGCCTCCCAAGCAGCTGGGGTTACAGGCGCATGCCACCGTGCCCGGCTAATTTTGTATTTTCAGTAAAGACGGGGTTTCACCATGTTGGCCAGGCTAGTCTCGAACTCCCGACCTCAAGTGAACCACCCACCTTGGCCTTCCAAAGTGCTAGGATTACAGGCATGAGCCACTGTGCCTGGCCAGGAGCATAAATTTAGTTGGTGACAACGAGTTTTAATTAGAATAGAAGCCAGGTGCAGTGGCTCCCACCTGTAATCCCAGCATTTGGGAGGCTGAGGCAGGCAGATCACTTGAGCCCCGGAGTTCTAGACCAGCCTGGGCAACATGGCGAAACCTGTCTCTACAAAAATTAAAAAATTAGCCAGGCGTGGTGGTACACACCTGAGGTACCAGCTGCTCAGGAGGCTGAGGCAGGATGATTGATTGAGCCCGGGAAGTCAAGGCTCTGGCGAGCTGTGATCACACCATTGCGCTCCAGCCCAGGTGACATAGCGAGACCCTGTCTCAAAAGAGAAAAAAAGTGTTTTTAATAAAAACAGGCTGAAAGAAAAGATGGAGGTAGTCTCCCAGCGCTTGGAGCAAAAAGACAAAGTATTTGATAAACTCTTAGGTACATAAAGGATGTCTAAGGGAACATGCGGACATGGATTACTCTGGACTCACTGCTGGCTGCACATCGCTGGCCAGCCATGTGGCCTCTGTGGGTTCTGAACGTGTTGATGGTGCCAACCTCCTGGGCTGAAGTGGAAATGGAATGGGTTCTAGGGCATCTGTCTCTTAGATCATTTTAATGTTTGCTGTGTTTTTTCTGTATTGCTCTGTTAGAGTAATGAGAAATGTGATGGTGTTTCTGGCCTCAGGTGCAGATTGATGAGTATGATCACTCCAAGCCCATCCAGGGGCAACAGAAGAAGCCCTTTGAGGTGCACTGGAGGAAGCACACCCTGTCCTATGTGGACGTCGGCACTGGGAAGGTCAGTGTGGAGCTCGTTCTCACCACAGCCCAGCACCCACACGGCCCCGCCCAGGTCTGCGGGCTGGCCTTGCTGATGGTGAACGCGGAGGAGCAGGCCAGATTTAAATCAACTCCCGACAGATTTGAGGCACCGCTGAAAAAGGCACTCTGACAGCAGTCGGGCTTCGGGCTGGAAACAGAATCCAGTGCCTGCAGGTGGTTCAGAGGAGCCTTAAGGAAGGGTTGCTCTGTGGTGTGGGCCAGATGGAAGTCACTGGGCAGGAGCAAGTGTCCAAGGCCTGGTGGCAGGGGAGGAGATGATGATTGTGGACCTAGCGAGAAAGTCAGCATCTGTGTGGTGGGGACAGAGCCACTACCAGAAACCAGTCCCGAGCCAAGGGAGCCCAGAAGAGACCCCTCCCCTCTCTTCCCATGGGCTGGGCCAACTGGAAGCATCTGCAGGGGAGCAGAGGGGATGTGGTGCAGCCCTTAGCATCCCCTGGGCACTGAGCAAGCAGAGAAGGGCAGAAATGGAGGCAGGGTTGGGGTAAGCAGCGTCCTGGGAACAGCCAGCCGAGGGTGTGGTAGGGGGGTTGCAGCTTGTTCCACACAAGCACAGCGTCTTGGGAACAGCCAGCCGAGGGTGTGGTAGGGGGTTGCAGCTTGTTCCACACAAGCACAGTTCACCTGTGTGGCATTTCCACTGGGCATTGAGATTCAGAAATCATGAAGATAGAAAGCTTTTACCCTTAAGCTTTTCATAACTTGTAAGGGAGAGTCGTATAATCACTTAGCTGTGTCTGTGGAAGTTACCTTTGGACTCTCACTATCATCTAGTGTGTCTGTGATTCAGGCAGTGGGTCATTTTCAGAATTTATCATGAAGGCCATTTCCTGATAGTATAGAGAGGTCACACTTCACTCGCTTAGCACAAGTCTATTTTTAATGTTTCCGGGTTCAGGTTTTTTGTTTTGTTTTTGTTGTTCTGAGATAGAGTCTCATCTCTTTTGCCCAGGCTGAAATGTGGTGGCTCGATCTCATCTCACTGCAGCCTCAACCTCCCCTCGGCTCAGGTGATCCTCCCACCTCAGCCTCCCGGGCACATGCCACCATGCCTGGCTAATTTTTGTATGTTTTGTAGAGACGGGGTTTTGCCACGTTGCCCAGGCTAGTCTTGAGCTCCTGAGCTCAAGTGATCCACCTGTCTTGGCCTCCCCAACAGGCATGAACCAACACGCCCAGCCAGTTTCAGTGATTTTTGAAGAAATACATACTCATTTTAGAAAGTACAAAGAGATTGAAATAAGAGCTCACTAACCAGAGATGACCCATTATGGTTTAAATTTCTTTGTATATGTGCCTACCTTTTCCTGTGTGTGCATATTTAATACACGGCTTGAGTATTCCTTCTCTGAAATCCTTGGGACCAGAAGTGTTTTGGATTTCAGGCTTGTTCAGACTTTGGAATATTTGCATTACACTTACTGTCTGAGCATCCTTAATCGGAAGATCTGACTCCATAGCACATTTCTTTTGAATGTCATGCTGGTGCTCAGAAAGTTTCAGATTTGGGAGAATTTCAGATGTTTGGATTAGGGATGTTCTACCTATATAAATATTTACTTTGAAGTAGAAAAACTGGAAGTAGATAGTTTAAACATGAAGTGTCTTGGTATAGACAAGGGTTCTCCCACTTTTCATGATGGGAGCATTTTTGTAAAGCAAAGCACTGAGAATCTGGTACAGTGTCATTTTCGTTGCTCTGTTCCACTCTACCGATCTGCCGTCATTTACAGTCCCCTGTTGCGCATGTAGATCATTTTTGAATTTGTTATTGGAAAATACTGCAGCAAATACCTTAAAGTTCACATGCCGTAAATCTACTTTTATAGTTAAAATTTTTCAAAAGGAACACAAGAGATGGCTTTTTGTACATTTTTGTGCTTAACTTACCACTGACTTCTTTTCAAGGTCACTGTGGAATATAGACCCATAATTGACAAAACTTTGAACGAGGCTGACTGTGCCACTGTCCCCCCAGCCATTCACTCCTACTGATGAGACAAGATGTGGTGATGACAGAATCAGCTTTTGTAATTATGTATAATAGCTCATGCATGTGTCAATGTCATAACTGTCTTTATACGCTTCTGCACTCTGGGGAAGAAGGAGTACATTGAAGGGGGATTGGCACCCAGTGGCCGGGGAGCGTGGCACTTACCTTTGTCCCTTGCTTCATTCTTGTGACAAGATAAAACTGGGCACAGCTGTTAAATAAAATATAAATGAACAAACTTTCTTTTATTTCCAAATCCATTTAAAATATTTTCCTGTTATGACTTGTCATATTTGTTGACCTAAAAATCAAATGTAATTATCTTTGTATTCTGTTACATCAAAATCCAGATATTTTGTTGCAGTTTCTTTTTTTTTTTTTTTTTTTTGAGACAGGGTTGGTGCAGTCTCAGCTCACTGCAGCCTCAAACTCCTGGGCAGCTCAGGTGATCTTCCCGACTCAGCCTTCTAAGTAGCTGGGGCTACAGGTGTGCACCACCACGCCCAGCTCATTTATTTTGTAATTGTAGGGACAGGGTCTCACTTTGTTGCCTAGGCTGGTCTCAAACTGCTGGGCTTAAGTGATCGTTCCTCCTTGGCCTCCCGAAGTGCTGGAATTATAGGTGTGAACCACCATGTCTGGCCTTGTAGTTTATTTCTAAGTTCAAATTAATGTTGGTGCTTTTCCTCCTTTTTTCTTAGCAGATGGTTTGCTAGGTGAGTGTGTCCTCGATTCTTTAAATCAGGGGTCCCCAATCCCCAGGCCACAGATTGTTCCAGTCCATGGCCTGTTAGGAACCAGGCCACACAGTAGGAGGTGAGCAGCCAGCCAGTGAGCATTACTGTGTGAGCTCCGCCCCCTGCCAGAGCATTACTGTGTGAGCTCCACCCCCTGCCAGAGCATTACTGTGTGAGCTCCGCCCCCTGCCAGAGCATTACTGTGTGAGCTCCGCCCCCTGTCAGAGCATTACTGTGTGAGCTCCGCCCCCTGCCAGAGATTACTGTGTGAGCTCCGCCCCCTGGCAGAGCATTACTGTGTGAGCTCCGCCCCCTGGCAGAGCATTACTGTGTGAGCTCCGCCCCCTGCCAGAGATTACTGTGTGAGCTCCGCCCCCTGTCAGAGCATTACTGTGTGAGCTCCGCCCCCTGCCAGAGTATTACTGTGTGAGCTCTGCCCCGTCAGAGCATTGCTGTGTGAGCTCCGCCCCCTGCCAGAGTATTACTGTGTGAGCTCCACCCCCTGTCAGCATTACTGTGTGAGCTCCACCCCCGTCGGCATTACTGTGTGAGCTCCGCCCCCTGCCAGAGCATTACTGTGTGAGCTCTGCCCCCTGTCAGAGCATTGCTGTGTGAGCTCCGCCCCCTGCCAGAGTATTACTGTGTGAGCTCCACCCCCTGTCAGCATTACTGTGTGAGCTCCACCCCCGTCAGCATTACTGTGTGAGCTCCGCCCCCTGCCAGAGCATTACTGTGTGAGCTCCGCCCCCTGCCAGAGCATTACTGTGAGCTCTGCCCCCTGTCATCATTACTGTGTGAGCTCCGCCCCCTGTCATCATTACTGTGTGAGCTCCGCCCCCTGCCAGAGCATTACTGTGTGAGCTCCGCCCCCTGCCAGAGCATTACTGTGTGAGCTCCGCCCGCTGTCATCATTACTGTGTGAGCTCCGCCCCCTGTCATTACTGTGTGAGCTCCGCCCCCTGTCATATCATTACTGTGTGAGCTCCGCCCCCTGTCATATCATTATTGTGAGCTCCGCCCCTGTCATATCATTGCTGTGTGAGCTCCGCCTCCTGTCAGATCAGTGGTGGCATTAGATTCTCATAGGAGTGGAATCCTGTTGTGAACTGCGCATGAGAAGGATCTAGGTTATGCCCCGCTTATGAGAATCTAATACTGATGATCTGAGATGGAACCGTTTCATCTCCAAACCATCCCCACACTTGTCAGTGGAAAAAGTGTCTTCCGTGAAACCAGTCCCTGGTGCCAAAAAGGTTAGGGACTGCCGGTTTAAATAACCAAATGCTAAAAGAACTGGCATAGAAGTAAATGGGCTGCTGCTTTATTTTTAGGCTGTTCTTTTTAGAGAGCAATGACAGTTATTTCCAAGTTTGTCATTAGAAAATAATATTAGGTTGGAGCAAAAGTAATTGCAGTATTTGCCATTGCTTTCAATGGTAAAAGGCACAATTACTTTTGCAGCAACTTAATATTATAAATTTGTTCTTAAAGTGTATTTTTGATAAGAAAGCCGTTTTGTTTTTCCTTCTGTTAATTTTTTGTTTTTTTCTTGGTCGAGACAGAGTCTTGCCATGCTGCCCAGGCTGGAGTGCAGTGGTGTGATCTCGGCTCACTGCAGCCTCCACCTCCTGGGCTCCAGCAGTCCTCCCACCTCAGCCTCCCTAAGAGCTGAGACTACAGGTGTGAGCCACCATGCCTGGCTAATTTTTAGAGACAGGGTTTCACCCTCTTGCCCAGGCTGGTCCCAAACTCCTGGGCTCAAGCAGTCCTCCTGCCTCAGCCTCCCAGAGTATTGGGATTATAGGTGTGAGCCACTGCCAGAAAAACGTTTCCTAAGACAAGGCAGGTCTTACATTATATTTAAATTTTTTTTAATGATGTCTTTTTTGGCAGTGCACAGCCAGAGGACAACACATCACACACAAGAAACAGTTGTGCTCATGTGATGGGGGCCTCAGCACTAGGAAGGAGTGGACTGTTGGCGCACGCAGCAGCTTGAATAAATCTGAAAGTCACTACGCTGCGTAAGAGAAGCCAAATAAAGCGCATGCTGTGTACAGAGGGTGTCGAGAATGCCTCCTACGTGACGGAAAGCAGATCCGTGGTTCCCTGCAGACTGGCAGGAGCAGATTCCAAAGGCACAGGAAGAAGCTTGCAGGTAGAATGTGTTCATTACCTTCTGCGCATTATACCACAAAAAAGCTGGGAATAAAAATGCTAACCAAAAAAAAAGGTGAAAGTAGATAAAATTTCTCAACTGTGTGATGGGTAAACGTGCAGGTTTGCTGTCATGCTTTGTTTATGAAGCTGTGGGGTACAAGGACTCTCATACGTCACTGTGGAATGCAGAACGTTGCAGCCTCATGGAAGAGGATTTGGCAGCATCTAACAAAACGACATGGCATTTGCCCTTAGACTCAGCAATTCTAGAATCTGCCTCAAAAAAAACTCTGGCAAAGAAATGAAAGGACTTTATCCACAGAGTTCTTTTCACAGCCTGAATGTGTTTGCCACAAAGTTCTTCACTGTGGCATTTGTAAAACTGGAAACAATCAAAATGTCCATCAGTAAGGGATTAGGAACATTAATTCGTGCAGTGGGGAACTCCGTACCAGAAGGAGGAATGAGGAACGCCTATTGATAAGGGGCAGAGTACATATAATATAATGCAAATATATATTTGCTTTTTCTTAAAACAGTACAAAGATAAAAATCTAAAGTGGTTGCTGTGGAGGACAGGGGTCAGTGGTGGAAGTGAGACCGAAATAGACTCTGAAGTAATATCTGGACTTTGAAATTGTAAGTGTTTTACATATTACCAAACTAAGTTTTTAAGATAGTCCCTAAAATTGAAAGAATGGTATCTGAAATGAATGAATCTAAATTCCTTGGATTGCATTCTACAGGCGCCAACCCTGAGACAAAAATTTGGAAGGTGGCCCTGAGCAGCAGCTGAAGGGAAGTGGGAGGTGAGACAGGAAAGAGGCGGCAGCATGGGGCGTCCGGGAGCCGGGTCTCATGTGGACAGCTGGGCCCGTGTTCACTGTGGGAGCTGGTGCGTTCCTTCACCAGCCCACGCTGCACAGGTTCAGGATGGTCAATTCCGGGCACCCCTGGCCTGCTCCAGGACATGCTGCTGCCACCAGAGAAAGCCCCTAGGCAGCGTCCCGGGTGCTGGTGGTGTCAGAATCGAGTTTGAGTCTGAGGAGTGACCTGGGGCTGGCTGGGCTAGGCAGCATCACGGGGTTCTGCAGCCCAACTGCACATCAGGCTGGTGACAGTCACGCAGCCTATTACTTCATGTGTCATCAGAGGATCGCTAGAACACAGCACTTCAAGTGTGCAGATTTAGTGAGCCATAGTCTAAAGACAAATAGAGCCACTGAATCCTAAATTTCAATCAATCATCTCCGTTACTCGTCTTATAGGTATTAATCCTTTGAAATTATGTGGGGTGGGAGTTAAAGCAAATAACTAATTATGTTAATGCTAAAACTAAGATTTTTCTGGCAAGGGAAAATCCTCCCAAGTCCCAGCACTTTGGGAGGCCGAGGTGGGCAGATGACCTGAGGTCAGGAGTTTGAGACCAGCCTGGCCAACATGGTGAAACGCCATCTCTACTAAAATTGAAAAATTAGCTGGGCATGGTGGCAGGTGCCTGTAATCCCAGCTATTGGGGAGGCTGAAGCAGGAGAATCGCTTGAAACAGGAGGCAGAGATTGCAGTGAGCCGAGATTGTGCCACTGCACTCCAGCCTGGGCAACAGGAACAAAACTCTATCTCAAAAAATAAAACAAGATTTTTCTGAGAAAAAGGTGTAAAACCGTATACTAAATTTGAAATAGAAATATAAGCGTGAACTCATTTGTTGTTCTTTTACCGTAGACACATTTTCTACCTCTGCCCCAGTAGCAGTAGACACATCAAGCACCTAGAAAGTGGTCTCTAATACATGAAAACCATGAATTCATAGTGGTGGTTTCAAAGCCAAAACCAAACAAACACATGTAATTGGTCACTCTTGGAGGTACCTAGGGCACTAACTCCTAACACTGGGAATGGACACTTGAAGGAAGATCAGTAATTATCCTGTCTTTTCTCTACAAATTGCAATTCAGGGAAACCTTGTTGATTAGGGAAAGTTCTTTACATAAGAATTCCTGCAAGTAAGTGAGTAAAGAATGACAGTTTAAGAATTGTCCCAGCCTGGCCAACATAGTGAAACCCCATCTCTAAAAATACAAAAAATTAGCCAGGCATGATGATGGGTGCCTGTAATCCCAGCTACTCAGGAGGCTGAGGCAGGAGAGTTGCTTGAACCTGGGAGACGGAGGTTGCAGTGAGCCGAGAGTGCGCCACTGCACTCCAGCCTGGGCAACAAGAGTGAGACTCTGTCTCAAAAAAAAAAAAAAAGAATTGTCAAATTGCTACCCCTAATGCCATGGTTCTCTAACCTGTGTAACAGGATCAGCTGGAGGGACGCTACCCCAGACCTTCCAATTCAGTCCTGGGGGGACCCTAGTCCAGACCTTCCGATTCGGTCCTGGGGGGGCCCTAGTCCAGACCTTCCAATTCAGTCCTGGGGGGACCCCACCCCAGACCTTCCGATTCAGTCCTGGGGAGACCCTACCCCAGATCTTCTGATTCAGTCCTGGGGGGACCCTCGTCCAGACCTTCCGATTCAGTCCTGGGGGGACCCCACCCCAGACCTTCCGATTCAGTCCTGGGGTACCCCACCCCAGACCTTCCGTTTTCAGTCCTGGAGGGACCCTACCCCAGATCTTCCGATTCAGTCCTGGTTCGGTCTGAGAATTTGCATTTCTAACATGTCCAGGGAACACAGTTTGAAAACCTCCACGGCTAACATGTAATGGGATGACATGGTCCAATAAATGAAGGAAAAATAACAGGTGGCAACCTCAGGCAGCTTCATCCCAACCAGTAAGAAAGTAAATCCTTTTGTAAACTAAGAGGAAGTATTAATATGGGCGTTTGAGCAAACATTTAAGTGTTAGGACAAAGAATTAAAAACTAGCACAGGCACCCCTGAAGCATGATAGGATGGCAACAGAAGGGCTGATTTAGTTTCCAAGAAATAACTGACAGGCAGTGTTGTGCGTGTGTCTACTACTTAGGAACCCAAAACAAACCTTCAGACCGTTTTCATGAGTACTGAGACCAAGAAAACCACTGGGCAGTGGGTGGTCTGGAAATGTAAATGTTGATGGTACTCCAGTAATGAGTCATGGAACAATGTTTCATATTGAAAATGTTTTTGTAAATGTGGGTTTCAGGGTTTCAAAGTGAACCCATATGTGTTAGGAGAAAGGACACACCAAAGAAGTAAAATAATTGGGTCAATATAAAAAGTAGAATATTGCCCAGAGAGAAGATGTGGATAATTCCTAATACGGATCAAAGGCACCAAAAAGGTGAGCTGTGAGTAAGATATTCAGACCTGCACCATCCCAAGCAGTAGCCACAGTGGCAAGTAGCCTCCTCACTGGACAGTGCAGCTACGGAATGATGCCATCACCGGAAAGTTCCATCAGCCAGCACCGATGCAGACCTTTGCAACTGCCCCTCACGCTGGACAGCACCTGTTTGATAGATTGTCCACTACGCAGTGAAAAGCCTGGGTGAAAAGCGGTATTTGGTAGAAGAGCAAAAAGGGGAAAAAAATTAAAAGTAGTAGGTCATTGTCCGCCAAACTGAATTCTGGCAGAAGAATGTTGGAAGCAAGATGGGAGCCACAGGAGAAAGTATCCTTGTCCCAAGACAGGAGGGGGTGCCAGGCATGGTTGGCTCTGTGCCTGGAATTCTATGGCCGGAATCTGGAAAAAGGAAAAGTGACTGGAAAAGGAAAGATTCTGTGTGCTTATGTCAAGATGCAGCCGTCCGTGATCCTGAGAAAATAAGTGAACAAAGTGGCTTTGGAGGGACGCTGTTGGATACACAAACAGATACAATGTGCACTTGCTATGCTTGTTCACACAAAGGACAGGATGGTCATCTGTTCATTGAACAACTACCTGTCGAGGGCCTATATGTGCCAAAGACATCAGATGAACAAGAGGGTGCACTGTGGAAAGCCTCAGGAACACAAGCGCCCAGAAACATTTAGAAAAATTCTAAGGAAAACAGAAAAGGCATTTTCAGATTAGCTCATAGAAATGAGACCAAAGGAAAGACTGGCCCAGTATTTGGATACATTATGTGATAAACCTTAACACAGGGAGGAAAGTGTTATCTTTCAATTAATTTCTCAACTTCTGGAGACCTTAGAACAGACCTGGCTAGGAGGAAATTGAATCCGAGGCAGGTGAGGACATAGTGGTGCCTCGATGCTTCCAGTGATTGCGTCAGCAGAACCAGGGGTGGGAGATGATCTCTCTTTTTGTTGGCAGATGGTGGTGTCTGCTGTAGCTTTGTCCCCTGGTGACGGGACTCAGGCAGTAACCCCCATCATTGGCAATACCCCCACCTCTGAGAATGTGGAGAGGACTTGTGAAGACAATGTTGTCCCAAGCAGCACAGCCCAGGTGCTGACAGGATTCAGAGTTAGAGCTTTCTTAGAGGTCAGGGTTGCGGAAGAGGCAGGGACTGCAGCTGCATAGTTTGTATATGTATCAGGCTAGTATCTTTTGTTCTAGACTCATCCATTTGTACATTCATATGAGTATGCATGCATGGTGTTTTTTCTTTTTCTTTTTCTTTTTTTTTTTTTTTTTGAGATGGAGTCTTGCTGTGTCACCCAGGCTGGAGTGCAGTGGCATAATCTTGCTTGACTGCAAGCTCCGCATTCCGGGTTCAAGAGATTCTCCTGCCTCAGCCTTCCGAGTAGCTGGGATTACAGGTGCCTGCCACCACACTTGGCTAATTTTTGTATTTTTAGTAGAGATGGGGGTTTCACCATGTTGGCCAGGCTGGTGTCGAACTCCTGACCTCAGTGATCCACCTGCCTTGGCCTCCCAAAGTGCTGGGATTACAGGCATTAGCCACTGCGCCCAGCCGTATGTCTCCATCTTTTTATTTCTTGCAATGTGTTGTTAAAGAAGTCAGGTGGTATGTGTACACAAGTAACGTATACTTGTTGAATATTTCTTATTTATCATACCCTGTCTCGTTCCAAAAGGATTTTACATGACTTATAATTTTAATATAATCCGGGGGAGATGGGCAGATTCAGCTCTGGGAGGCCAGCAGAATGGCTTTTAGGTCCTCCTTGGATTCAGAAAATACTTCTTGAAAGATATTTGAGGTAAATCTTACAGGATTAGAGGTTAGCCAGATGAAAAGAAATCAAGAGAGGAGAGAGGAGCCCCCACAAAGGACTGACCCAGGGCAATAACGGGGAAAGAACTTGGAGGTACAGAGGCAGACCTTGGTGTTTCCCAGGGTGTGGGACGTTGGGGGTAGTAAGGCTGGAGTGGGTAGAGGAAAGGGCTAGGGTGACACCACGGGGTATTAGGTGGAACTGAGGGAAACAGAAATAGGAGCAGAGAAAAGGGAATGAGAACGGGAAAGAGGGAGGTGGGAAATAGAAGAGGGAGTTTCCAAACAGCAACAACAACAGAAACAAGTGTTTTGGGTTGTGGAGCGTTTGCCCTGCAGAGAGCTGGGTCTGCCCTTGTCCCTTTTGGGGATTATGAATCAGTGCGTGGAGCCGCGCGGCCACATCCACCATTCACTTGCACTTGAGTGACAGCCAAGCTACAGTCATGAATACGTTTCTTTCTTTTTACAGAAGAACAGTAAATTGACTTTATTCCTTATAAAGGTGATACTGGAGAATGTGACATAGATTTGCTGGCACATGGGTTTCCTATGAGCAAACCCCAGAATTGGACACACGTATCTGGTGCTGCATTGGAATCATCCCAAAAAACCAAGGCTTGCATTGCATATCTATCTGCTGTCTGCTGAAGGAGCCCTGTCTGTGTGCCCAAGGAAGTGACATCCTTGCCAAGGGCTGTCCCTGTCGCAGGAGATGAAGGAGCCCTGTCTATGTGCTCAAGGACAGTGGCTTCCTTGCCAAGGGCTGTCCCTGTTGCAGGAGATGAAGGAGCCCTGTCTATGTGCTCAAGGACAGTGGCTTCCTTGCCAAGGGCTGTCCCTGTTGCAGGAGATGAAGGAGCCCTGTCTATGTGCTCAAGGGCAGTGGCTTCCTTGCCAAGGGCTGTCCCTGTTGCAGGAGATGAAGGAGCCCTGTCTATGTGCTCAAGGACAGTGGCTTCCTTGCCAAGGGCTGTATCTGTTGCAGGAGATGAAGGAGCCCTGTGTGCCTGAGGACAGTGGCTTCCTTGCCAAGGGCTGTCCCTGTAGCAGGGGAAAGCCTTTCAGGACCCTTTCTTAGAGAAATAGGTCTCAAAGTGAATGAATATACCTCCTCACATACTCACCAAGCAGCCTGCAGAGGATACAGCTTTCCATGTGGCTCAGGGAACAGTTGATATCAACAGTCTCTCAATTCCTTTATTATTATTATTATTATACTTTAAGTTCTGGGATACATGTGCAGAACGTGCAGCGTTGTTACATAGGTATATATGTGCCATGGTGGTTTGCTGCACCCATCAACCTGTCATCTACATTGGGTATTTCTCCTAATGCTATCCCTCCCCTTGCCCCCAACCTCCCAACAGGCACCGGTGTGTGATGTTCCCCTCCCTGTGTCCATATGTTCTCATTGTTCAACTTCCACTTATGAGTGAGAACATGCAGTGTTTGGTTTTCTGTTCCTGTGTTAGTTTGCTGAGAATGATGGTTTCCAGTGTCATCCATGATCCTGCAAAGGACATGAACTCATCCTTTTTTATGGCTGCATAGTATTCCATGGTGTCTATGTGCCACATTTTCTTTAACCAGTCTGTCATTGATGGGCATTTGGGTTGGTTCCAAGTCTTTGCTATTGTGAATAGTGCCGCAATAAACATACATGTGCTCGGGGCTGGGCGCGGTGGCTCAAACCTGTAATCCCAGCACTTTGGGAGGCTGAGGCGGGTGGATCACGAGGTCAGGAGATCAAGACCATTCTGGCCAACATGGTGAAACCCCTTCTCTAGTAAAATGCAAAAAATTAGCTGGGCGTGGTGGTGTGTGCCTGTAGTTCCAGCTACTCAGGAGGCTGAGGCAAGAGAATCGCTTGAACCCGGGAGGTGGAGGTTGCAGTGAGCCGAGACCGTGCCACTGCACTCCAGCCTGGCAACAGAGCAAGACTCCGTCTCAAAAATAATAAATAAACATACGTGTGCATGTGTCTTTACAGTAGAATGATTTATAATCCTTTGGGTATATACCCAGTAATGGGATGGCTGGGTCAAATGGTATTTCTAGTTCTAGATCCTTGAGGAATCGCCACACTGTCTTCCACAATGGTTGAACTAATTTGCACTCCCACCAACAGTGTAAAACTATTCCTATTTCTCTACATCCTCTCCAGCATCTGTTGTTTCCTGACTTTTTAATGATCACCATTCTAACTGGTGTGAGATGATATCTCATTGTGGTTTTGATTTGCATTTCTCTAATGATCAGTGACGATGAGTTTTTTTCATGTTTGTTGGCTGCATAAATGTCTTGAGAAGTGTCTGTTCATATCCTTTGCACACTTTCTGATGGGGTTGTTTGTTCTTGTAAATTTACTTAAGTTCCTTGTAAATTCTGGATATTAGCCCTTTGTCGGATGGATAGATTGCAAAAATTTTCTTCCATTCTGTAGGTTGCCTGTTCACTCTGCCTGGTCATATGCAGAAAACCGAAACTAGACCCCTTGCTGACACTTATACAAAAATTAACTCAAGATGCATTAAAGATTTAAACGTGAGACCTAAAACCAGAAAAATCCTAGAAGAAAACCTAGGCAACACCATTGAGGACGTAAGCATGGGCAAAGACTTCATGACTAAAACACCAAAAGAAATGGCAACAAAAGCCAAAATTGACAAAAGGTATCTAATGAAACTAGAGAGCTTCTGCACAGCATGACTGTATTTCAGTGCACGTTTACCACCGAGCTCTTAACGCTCCACCACTGTCCTGTGTCATTAGGATCCCAGCTCTGCAGCCATTCCTCTAGTTGGGCCTGGGTCGGCTCTGGGATGCCGCGGGGGGGCCGGTCGGCGGCGGAGGGGCCAGTGGGGACCCGGGGCAGGGGCGGAGACCCCTCCCACTGCACATCCCACTGCCTGGGTATCTGGCCCCCAACCGGCCTGCCCGCTGCTCCCACCTCCCATGGTGGGTCGGGGGCTGAGGGCTGGGGACTGGGGCAGGGTACCCCAAATATCTCTCGGTGGCGATCGCTCAGTCCGTGCAGTCCATCCAGCTCCTGCATTGTCCGTCCTACCAATAACCTCTCACTTGCAATTCTCAGCCCCTTCCTGCATTGTCTCCCTGTGAGACCTACTAGAACCCCCGCCTTTCACACTGCTGACCTGCTGGGGGAAAATGCACAGAGGCAGAGACGAGGCCACGCGGGAGTCCTGATCTCTAACCCCAGCCGGTCTCAGGCCTTGCCGAGGCAACGCTGCTTCCCCAGACACTCTCCCTTTCCCATTCTTTTTTTTTTTTTTTTTTGAGTTGGAGTCTCGCTTTGCCACCCAGTCTGGAGTGCAGCGGCGCGATCTCAGCTCACTGCACCCTCCACCTCCTGGGTTCAAGCGATTCTCCTGCCTCAGCCTCCCAAGTAGCTGGGATTACAGGCACACACCACCATGCCTGGCTAATTTTTGTATTTTTAGTAGAGATGGGGTTACACCATGTTGGCCAGGCTGGTCTCAAATGCCCGACTTCAGGTGATCCACCCGCCTCGAGCTCCCAAAGTGCTGGGATTACAGGCGTGAGCCATCGCGCCTGCCTTTACTTTCCCATTCTTAACGCCTCCCGTTTCAGACCTGTCCCCTTTTCCCCGCATTTCTGACTGTCACGGCACATCACAACCAGCAGACAGGGCTTCCCCTATTTCACAGGAGAAATAGAAGCCATCAGATGGGACCTCCTTCAAAGTCCTGCCACCAAACCTCAGCATGTACCTGGACCCACATGTATCCTCTTTTCCTTTGGGATTGAATTAGAGAGGTGCCGCTCGAAACCCGCTCCTGGGTGGGAGTCTTGGCTCTATCAGTTATGCCTCTATTCTGTATGTTTAACCTCGCCCTCGTAGGGGCATAAAACAGCATTTAAACAGGATCAAGCTTTCCATTTTAAAACTCCATACACTCCCTTAATTTCATCTCCTCCTCCACCTACTGCCCCATGTCTCTCCCTCTTCCTGGCTAAACGTCTCAAAAAAGTGGATACACTTTCTGTCAACTCCTAAACACTCCTCACGCTCATTTGGCCTCTGCTCCTCCCTTCCTCCTCCCACTTCATTGGAACTACTTCTGCCAAAGAGGATCCCTGAGTCAGCCTGACTGGTAACCCCAATGGACTCTACTCAATATGCAACATCCTTCACTTCTTAGCAGAGTTTGAAACAGCCTGACTCTCCTCTTCTGGCAACATTCTTTTCCTTGGTTTGGGGACGCTGTACTGTTCTGGTTTTGCCCCTCCCTCCGAGCATTCCTTGTGTTTGTCCTGGCCCATTTTCTCCTCTCATTCTACATCCTCTCCCCGGGGATTTTAGCTTCTCTCACGGCTCAGGTTACCATCTCCATAGTGATGACTATCAAATTCTGTACCTCATTTCCAGAGGCTCCTGACAGACTTGCTTGGTCAATATACTACTGGACATATTCATGAGACTGTCTCACACAGGCATCTCGAACCCAGTGTGTCCCACAATTCTCTTCCTATCCATGCCTGTTCCTCTTCCACTGCCTCATATGTCGGTGACTGTCCACCTTCTCTCTCTCTCCCCCTCTCCGTTTGGCTCATAGGAAAAGTGTCACCAAGGGCTGTAAGTGCAGATTTCTAATTATCCCCTAAATTTGAACATTTTTCCTCTCGAAAGTGTATGGCCATTACCCTATTACAGATCAACATCTTCAATCACTGGAATGATGGCAATAATCTAATTGGGTTCATTTTATCCTCTATCTAACAATGACAACTCATTGCCTACACAGCAGGTAGAAGGAGTTTGTTTTCAGAATTGCCCTCTGACCTATTTAAGACGCTCAGATATTCCCTGAGGCTCCTTGGCCTGGCCACAAAGGCCCTACACATTCTGGCTGCTTCCTCCTTTCCAGCATCCTCTCTCACGTCTCCTCTCCTCAGTTCCACCCTCAGGAGGCACCAGAATTCCTCACTTCTTTGACTACAAGGCACCGTCTTACTCCCAAGACCAGTGAATCCGAAGGTGGACCACCAGCTGAGGGACTAGATTCCAGACTGAATAGAACAACTTTCCCTGTCTCTCCACATAAAGTGTGTTTGTTTTTCCTCTTACAGGTTTCCTTAATGACAACAAAAAAGGGAGTAATCCTACCCACTGTAAGAGTCATGACTCTTGATTGCAGCTGACAGAAACTCATGACAGCCTGCTTTAGATGAAGGGGGAGAGAAGGACTGGAAGAATCTTGGAGTTGGGAATGTCACACGTAATTGAAGGAAGAACAAGAAAACTATAGTAAAGAACCCTGGGGTGGTGATGTAGTCATGGGCCAAGTGTCCTGGAACCCTGGGGTGGTGATGTAGTTGTGGGCCAAGTGTCCTGGAACCCTGGGGTGGTGATGTAGTCATGGGCCAAGTGTCCTGGAACCCTGGGGTGGTGATGTAGTTGTGGGCCAAGTGTCCTGGGTTTTGGGTGGAGAAAGAGTCCCCTAGATAAGTTATTAGGTGGGTGCAAAGGTAATTGCAGTTTTTCCCATTATTTTAATTGCGAAAACAGCAATTACCTTTGCACCAACCTGATGGAGTCCCCCTTGCCATGCTTCTCTCTGTGAAAAACCCCAAGCCGAAGTCAGCATAACATCCACAGGACTCTATGTTTGCAAAAGCCAGCTTAGCTATATTACATGTATAAGCACATTTTTTCAATAAGTCAGCCTTAGCTTACTGTAACTTTTTAACTTTATAAACTTAGTATTTTAACTTTTTAAACTTTTTTGTTGAAAACTAAGACACAAAAACACATGTTAGCCTAGATCCACACAGGGTCAGGGTCATCAGTATCACTGTCTTCCACCTCCACATTTTGTCTCTCTGGAAGGTCTTCAGGGGCAATAACACACATGGAGCTGTCATCGCCTGTGGTAACAATGCCTTCTACAGTACTTCCCAAAGGGCCTGCTAGTTCACTTAATTCTTTTATAGAGAGAAGGAGTACACTCTAAAACACTGATCAATAGTATATTATAGTAAATACATAAACCAGGAACACATTTATTATCATTATCACGTATTGTGTATTGTACAGAATGGTGTGTGCTGTGCTATCCAGGAACACATTTATTATCATTATCAAGTATTGTGTACTGTACAGAATGGTGTGCGCTGTGCTTTTATGCAAGTGGCAGCACAGTAGCTTTACACGAGCATCACTAGACACATGAGTAGCATTGCACTCGGCAACAGGAATTTTTTCAGGCCCATTATTATAATCTTATGGGACCGCATCCTATATGCAGTTTGTCATTGACCAAAATGTCCTTATGCGATGCATGACTATATTTGCAAAGGACTAGTATCTAGAATACATTTAAAAGTCTTAAAATAGTAACAAAACAAAGAATGCAATTAGAACATGAGCAAAAGATACAAAGCAACATTTCACTGGAGAAGATATACAGATTGCAAATAAGCACATGAAAAGATGTTTGATACCATTAGGGAAACGCTTCTTTAAACCAGGAGATATCACCACGTGTTAGAATCAACAAAATAAGGCCAGGCATGGTGGCTCACACCTGTAATCCCAACACTTTGGGAGGCTGGGGCAGGCAGATCACATGAGATCAGGAATTCAAGACCAACCTGGCCAACATGGCAAAACCCTGTCTCTGCTGAAAACACAAAAATTAGCCAGGTGTGGTGGCACACGCCTGTAGTCCTAGCACCTTGGGAGGCTGAGGCAAGATAATTGCTTAAACCCAGGAGACGGAGGTTGCAGTAAGCTGAGATCATGCCACTGCGCTCCAGCCTGGGCGACAGAGCAAGATTATGTCTCAAAAAAAAAAAAAAAAAAAAGAATCACCAAAATAAAAAATAGTAACAATACTATTGTCAAGGATGCAAAGGAACTGTACCACTCAATCACTGCTGTGAGAATTTAAAGTGGTGCAGCCACTCTGGGAAACAGCTTGGCTGTTTTTTTTTATGACTGAATGTGCAACTACTATATGATGCAGTAATTTCATTTTTGCACATTTATCCCGGAGAAATGAAAACATATATTCACACAAAACCTGTATATGAATGCTAATAAAAGTCAATTGGCCAGGTGTGGTGGCTCATGCCTGTAATCCCAGCACTTTGGGAGGCTGAGGCAGTGGATCACCTGAGGTCAGGAGTTTGAGACCAGCCTGGCCAACGTGGTGAAAACTCGTCTCTACTAAAAATACAGCAATTAGCTGGGTGTAATAGTAGCCACCTGTAATCCCAGCTACTGGGGAGGCTGAAGCAGAAGAACCTCTTGAACCCGGGAGGCAGAGGTTGCAGTGAGCTGAGATCGTACCACTGCACTCCAGCCTGGGCGATAGAGTGAGACTCTGTCTCAAAAAATAAAATAAAATAAATAAAAAGATTAGATAATCTGCAAAGTTCCTGTGAGCGCTGTCATTTTGTCACTCTGGTTTTTCAGATTCTTCCCCTGGAGGCTGGAGTTTCCAGGATGTCAAAATTACCTCTGCTTGGGTGAGCTATTTCAAGCAGCTGGGATACCTGTGTCACTCCTGCTGTCTGCCAGTGACTGCCCAGGTGTCTGCTGGTTCCTCCCCAGGAGTAGGGAGGAACCAGGTGGGCTGGCTGGGATGGGTGGATATTTAAAGACCAGGCCTTGGACGCTGCAGCACTTCTATCTCTGCTTGATGCCTGCTGCCACGTGGCTGGTCCTCCTCCTCCTGCTGTGGCTGAGCCTTGGGGTGAAGACAGGTGAGGAGCTAGGCTGGCATCTGTGCTACAGGTCAAAGAGACCCCAATCTCTGCTCTCTCATTCATTCAATCAATTAATCTGTTTTGTCTCTGGCATGACCCACCTCCTGTGACCCAGCATTCATTAATTCATTAATCAAATAATTCATGTATTCAGACACTTATTAAGTACCGACTATATGGTTGATGTGGCTTCTTTGTGTATCCAGTTTTATATCTGGATAAGATGTCTTTGGATGATCAGCTTGGGAGGGTCTAGTATCCAGAGGATGCTCCCTCGGATAGAGGCAGCGTGGGCACTGTGGGTGGCTGGGGTGGACGGGACAGGAGGGAAGGTAGGTGTGATAAACCCAGATCCAGATTAACAGGCAGACTCACTGGGCAATTTCCAGGCACCAGTCTACTGGGTTTATTCAAACATCCCTGGAAATACAACAGGGTGAATACAGTTGCATTTACTAGAACTTCTCTCTCTCTCTCCTCTCTCTCTCTTTTTAATTTTTTTTTTTCCAGACAGAGTCTGCTCTGTCCCCCGCCAGGCTGGAGTGCAGTGGTACGATCTCGGCTCACTGCAACCTCCACCTTCTGGGTTCAAGCCATTCTCCTGCCTCAGCCTCCCGAGTAGCTGGGATTATAGGCATGCACCACCATGCCTGGCTAATTTTTGGCATTTTAAATAGAGACAGGGTTTCGCCATGTTAGCCAGGCTAGTCTTGAACTTCTGACTTCAGGTGATCTGCCCACCTCCGCCTCCCAAAGTGTTGGGATTACAGGTGTGAGCCACCGTGCCTGGCCCTAGAACTTCTCTTGGGAGAAAACTAGATGTCATTGGTAGGAACACAGTCAGCTGTTGCTTAATGATGGAGACACATTCTGAGAAATGCATCATCAGATGATTTCTTTGTTGTATGAATATCATAGAGTTCACACAACAATGAAATCGAGAGTTTACATAAACCTAGATGGTTTATATATATATTTATTTACATGTTTGTTTTCCACATGGAAAGCCACATGTCCCAGCACATGTCCCATTACTGAACATCAGTCATTTCCCCTGCTTGATCCTCAAGGCCAATATCGAGCACCATATATCGGGTTTCTGCATATGCCCTATTATAATCTTATGGGGCCACCGTCATATATATGGTCCATCATCGGTCTAAACATCGTGATGTGGCACAAGGCTGTACTTCTTGGCTGGGTGCGGTGGCTCACGCCTGTAATCCCAGCACTTTGAGAGGCCGAGACGGGTGGATCACTTGAGGTCAGGAGTTCAAGACCAGCCTGGGTAACATGGTGAAATACCATCGCTATTAAAATACAAAAATTAGCCAGGTGTGGTGGTGGGTGCCTGTAATCCCAGCTACTTGGGAGGCTGAGGCAGGAGAATCACTTGAACCTGGGAGACAGAGGTTGCAGTGACCCGAGATTGCGCCACTGCGCTCTAGCCTGGGTGACAGAGGGAGACTCCATCTCAGGAAAAAAAAAAAAAAAAAACCCAAAGCTATTTATTGTGGAAAAATTCAAACACATGCAAAAGTAAAGAGAATAGGATGATGAACCCAAGGTACCAGTTGGCCACCTTCAATATTATCAACATTATGCTCAAGCTCTTATCCCCCATATTTAAAAAATATAACCACAATACCTTATCAGAGCCAAAACAAATATGGTCGCACACCTGTAATCCCAACACTTTGAGAGACTGAGGCGGGCAGATCGCCTGAGGCCAGAAGTTCAAGACCAGCCTGGCCAACATGGTGAAACCCCTGTGTCTACTAAAAATACAAAAATTAGCTAGGCATGGTGGCGGGTACCTGTAATCCCAGCTACTCGGGAGGCTGAGGCAGGAGAATCACTTGAACCAGGGAGGTGGAGGTTGCAGTGAGCCGAGATTGCGCCACTGCACTCCAGCCTGGGCAACAGAGCAAGACTCTGTCTTTAAAAAAAAAATTAATTAATTAATTAATTTAAAAAACTACTTACTATCGTTTAATACCTATCAGTGTTCATATTTCCCCCACTTGTCAAAAATATCTTGTTATTCAGCAGCAAAGCAGAAGAGAAAAAGAAAAAATAAGATCAGATGTGGTGGCTGATGCCTGTAGTCCCAGCACTTTGGGAGGCCAAGGTGGGAGGATCACTGGAGCTCAGGAGTTTGAGACCAGCCTGGGTACAATAGCGAGACTCAGTCTCTACAAAAAAAAAATTTGTTTAAAAATTAGCAAGGTGTGTTGATGTTCACCTATAGTCCCAGCTATTCAGAAGGCTGAAGTGAGAAAATTGCTTGAGCCCCAGAAGTTGCGGCTGCAGCGAGCTGTGACCATACCACTGCATTCCAGTCTGCTGCACCGAGTGAGACCATGTCTCAAAAAAAAAAAAAAAAAAAAAAAAAAAAGAAAGAAAGAAAAATGCCTTTTTACAGCTGGTTTATTCAAGTCAAGATCCAAAAAAGATACGCACACATGTTTAACTAGCATATTTCTTAAATGTCTTTAAATCTATACCTAGATCAGTGCCATTTTTTCATGTCATTTAGCTGTTGAACGAACCAGGTACTGTGTCCTGCGGCATATCCTACCTTCTGGGTTTGACTGATTGAATCTTTGTGGATGTCCCTCTGCCTCTGTCTTTCCTGAACTCTGGTAGTTGAGATCAGGACTGGAGATTTCTTAGGCAGGAAGAATCCATAGGTGGGTACTTCCTATCGCACCTCGAAGGAGACACAAAGTGTCCAGCTGTCCCACTTTTACTGGTGTTAAACTTCATCCACCAGATAGTGCACCCATTATAAAATTCTGTCCACTAATGATTTGTGCTGAGATCCACTTCTCATTAGGGGCTGCCAAGTAGTGCTTTTCTATCATTCTTTCTGCACTTGTTAGCCGAAGGTTCTCTGTCGTGAAGATATTTCCCTTGTCAACTATTTGGCTTGGATGGAAAGGCTGGATCAATGTTTGATTCTTTATTTTTCATCTTCATAATAATGAGCTAGCTCCTCGGCACCCCGGGGGAAGTTGTCTTCAAATGCTGCCTTGAAGCATAGAATATTTAATTCTAATGGATATGGGAGGGAAGGGCCTTCCAAGCCGAGGGAAGAGCTTGAGCAAAGGCTCAGAGGCAGGAGAATGCAGGGTGTTTAGAGAACAGCAGAGCTCCGTAGCACGTGCAACAAGAGGCTTTTTGAGTGAGGACCCTGAGCACGATATGGTGGGAAAGCAGGGGAGAGGTCAGGATTGCTGGTTTGACTCCCAGCCATGGGCAAAAGGTTCTCCCCTTGTCTATACAATGAGGACATCTCTCTAGATCAGTGGCTTTCCAACGTTTCTGGCCCCAGTTCACTTTAATAAATACATTTTATACTCTGACCCAGTAAGTGCATCTGTGTGTATAAAAACCAACAGAAATTTCAAAAAGAACTCAGTTGACTTTTACATACAATGTATGTGGGTCTATTCTATTCTATTTCATTCAGTGTCATCCTGTTGAAATAAATGTTGGTTATGACCACTGAATTGAACTCAGTCTCACAGATTGTCGGCAACCTTAGTCTGGGTGGCTCCTGGGGCTCTATTTCCACTCCAGCCCTTTCTGGTTGATCCCTGGTCTTGGTGACAACCTGACGCAGCACCAGGCTCTGGAGAAGAGGGACAACATGAGAAGAGAAGCTGATCACTTGCAGGAGGCTCCTGAGCTGAACATGAGGCAAAAGCCAGGCCAAACTCAGAGGCTGTGGCCCCAGCCAGGCCACCCTCACCTTCAGAGTCTTGACCCCCCAGACCACACTACCGGACACCTGCTGGCCCTGTTTCCACAACAGACTGGCTCAGCCACACCCAGGCCCACAGGGCTCAGAGGCCTGCTCCCTGTTGATCGTGTCAACTTTGAAAGGCCTTCAAGTTTATCCCTAAACAAAGCCCTCCAGTTTAGCCCTAAAGAGCCAGGTGTTAACCTAACAGGAAGCAATTTGGAAGGTCAAAGTCAAGTAGACGGAGAAGAGTGTTGAGAGTCCTGGGGTGACAACACCTGGGTCCCCTGCTCACCTGAGCCACAGACTCGCCAGGTAACTGGGCCAGCGTCCCTCCTGCCCACGCCTTGCTTGCCGCACTCTTAAAGAAGATGCATCCCCTTCTCTTGGAGGGAATGACAATGACCAGATCACAACTGAGCTGAGCAATTTGGGGAAATTTGGGCAGGGGGTAGAGTTGGCAGAACTGGTTTGTAAACAGGGCTCTGGAAGACCTTCCTCTAACTGTGGGGAGTGGGGGAGGGGTTTCTCTCCCTCTTAGGCACTCTCTTCTCTGCTGTTTTCTCTATTTCTCTCTTCGCTGTCACTCCCATTACCGTCCTCATCTTATCTCCCCCTTTTCTCTCCTTCTCTCTCTCTCTGTTTAATAACAGCTTTATTGAGAGATAATTTACAGGATGTGAGATTTACCCTTTTGTACAATTCACCATGTGTACATTTCAGTGTTGTTCAGTGTATTCACAGGGTTGCAGAACCATCACTGCTGTCTTATTTTATTTTTTTGGCACTTTTTGGTAGAGACAGGGTTTTGCCACGTTGGCCAGGCTAGTCTCAAACTCCTGACCTCAAATGATCTGCCCGCCTCGGCCTCCCAAAGTGCTGGGATTACAGGTGTGAGCCACTGCGCCTGGCCACCTCTGTCTAATTTCAGAACATGTTTGTTATGCCCCAAATAAACTCTGACCCATCAGCAGTCACTGCCTGGTCCACACATCTCACCAGCCCCTGGCAACCACTAATATACTTTCTGTCTTGATGGATTTGTCTATTCTAAACATTTCATATAAATGGAATCATACAATACACGGCCTTTTGTGAGTGGCTTCTTTCACTTAGCATGTTTTCAAGTTTCATTGTTGTTGTGGCATGCATCTGTACTTCATTCCTTTTTATGGCTGAGTAATATCCCATTATATGGATATACCAGATTTAGTTTTAGCCATTCATCAGTTGAAGGGCATTTGAATTGTTTCTACTATTTGGCTATTATGAATAACACTGCTATGAATATTCATTGATAGGTTTTTGTGTGAACATGTGTTTTTAATTCTCCTAACTACAGGCTCAGAAGTAGGGTTTCTGGGTCATATGGCAACTCTATGTTTACATTCTGAGAAACTGTCAAATTGTTTTTCTTTTTTTTCTTTTTTTTTTTTATTCTTTTCTGCTGCCACCTCATCTCCCCAAATTGATTTTCAAAGTGGCTGCACCATTTTGCAATTCCACCAGCAGTGTATGAGGGTTCCAATTTCTCCACACCCTCAGCAACACTTCAACACTTGCTTTTTTTTTTTTTTTTTTTGAGATGGGGTCTCGCTCTGTCGCCAGGCTGGAGTGCAGTGGCGTGATCTCAGCTCACTGCGACCTCTGCCTCCTGGGTTCAAGAGATTCTCGTGCCTCAGCCTCCTGAGTAGCTGGGACTACAGGTGCATGCCACCACACCCAGCTAATTTTTGTATTTTTAGTAGAGACGGGTTTCACTATGCTGGCCAGGATGGTCTCAAACTCCTGAACTCGTCATCCACCCATCTCAGTGTTCCCAAGTGCCGTGATTACAGGTGTGAGCCACCCCACCCAGCCAACACTTGCTGTTTTATTTTTTATCTTAGCCGTCCTACTGGATGTGGGGTGGTATCTCATTGTGGTTTGGATTTGCATTTCCTTATGATTAATGATGTTGAGTATCTTTCATGCTCACTGGCCACTTGTGTATCTTCTTTGGAGAAATGTCTATTTAAATCCTTTGTCCAGTTTTAAATTTGATTGACTTATTTTTATTTATTTATTTATTTTGGAGGCAGAGTCTTGCTCTGTTGCCCAGGCTGGAGTGCAGTTGTGCAATCTTGGCTCACTGCAACCTCCACCTCCTGGGTTCAAGCAATTCTCCTGCCTCAGCCTCCTGAGTAGCTGGGACTATAGGTGCATGCTACCAAGCCCAGCTAATTTTTGTGTTTTTAGTAGAGACGGGTTTCACCATGTTGGCCAGGCTGGTGTTGAACTCCTGGCCTCAAGTGATCTGCCTGCCTTGGTCTCCCAAAGTGCTGGGATTACAGGCATGAGCCACCGCACCCAGCCAGTTTCAGCTCTTACATTTAGGTCTATGGTCCATTTTGAGTTAATATTTGTATATGGTTTGAGGTAGGAGTCCAAATGCATTCTTTTGCATGTGCTTATCCAGTTGTCTAAGCACCATTTGTTAAATCTATCTTTTCTTTTCCTTTTTTTTTTTTTTTTTTTTTTTTTGAGACAGGGTCTTGCTCTGTCACCCAGGCTGAAGTGCGCTGGTGTGATCATGGCTCACTTCAGCTTCCTGCGTCTGGGCTCAAGTGATCTCCTGTCTCAGCCTCCTGGGTAGCTGGGACTACAGGCGTGCACCACCATACCTGGCTAATTTTAATCTTTTTTTTTTTTTTTAATGTTCCTTTTTCTCCAGGCAGCTGCTCCCAACCCCAGAACCTTTGCTGTCTTGGGACGGATCACCGCTGCAAGAGGGGAAGTTGCTACTGTGATGAATTCTGCCATGTGGCACCAGACTGCCACCCAGACCACAGTGTCCTCTGCAACCCTGGTAACTCACATACAGGCCCGATTCCACCTACAGCAAAGCTGGATGCGATGGCTGGCAGAGGCAAACCCTTTGCCTGCACTTCAGGCCAAAGCCGGGATGTGGCCTAGATGGTTCCTAAGGTCCCTGACAATCCTGAGATCTTGCATCTTGTCTATTTCAGGTCAAAGGTGCCTACATGCTCCTTCTAGCTTTGTTTCCCTGATGTTCCTTGCCACCTGCTACTCCTCTCTGAGCTACTTTTCCAGGTTCCACAGGGAGAGGTTCAGCTGTCCGTGGTAGACATGAGGGTAGAGAATGAGGTGGTTGGGTTCCACTTACCTTTCTATCATCTTGCAGTATGGATGTCTCTTGACTGGTACCGTGTAGACTTTTGAGGGCACACAGGAGTCTGCAGAGAGATACTGGGGACATTGAGCAGCAGCAGTGGGGTTGGGAGGCAGAAATGAGGACAGGAACATTTACCTTGTGTTTCTCTCAGCTTCTCAGATGACCAAGATGGTGCTGCAGATGGTGCTGAGGATGGAGAACCCACCAAGCCCCGCTAGGAGCCACCTAGACTGGATGCAGAGCATGGTGAGCTCCCTGCAGGTTCTCTGAGAAGGGGTGGATGGCAGCCTGCTCCTTGCCTTTGTGCCCTCCAGGCCCCAAAGTCAGGGAACCAAAAGAAGAAAGGGGCCGTAGCTAGGGCAGAGCTCCACTGCAATGATTGTTTTAGGGGTAGGAGCCAGGATTGCCGTCTGTGGACACTGAAATTTGAATCTCATATACTTTTGTGACAAAACATTCTTCCTCTTTTGTTCTTCTCCTACCATCTAAAAATGTAGAAAACATTCTTAGCCTATGAGTTGCACAAAAACAGGCAGTGGCCAGATTTGGCCCATAGACCATAGTTTGCTGACTTCTGCCCTAAATCATCCTCCATTTCTTTCCTTCTGTGTCCTTGTTACTGACAAAGCCACTTTCCCTAAAATGGGGTCTTTCCCTGTTTGGTGCCATGAAGCCAATATGCAAAACCGAAAGTGAGCCTCAAGCAGTGCAGGCTTTATTTGGTGGCCATGGAATTGAGAAGTGAGAGCTTGGCTCACAAATCAACTTTTCTGCTCGTGAGACCCAGGAAGTCACAGATACAGGGCATCTTTAGTGAAGGGGCTGAGCATTAAAAGCAAGGGGAGGAGTGGCCAGGTGCAATGGCTCACTCCCATAAACCCAGAACTTTGGGAGGCCAAAATGAGAGGATTGCTGAGACCAGGAGTTCGAGACCATCCTGGTCAACATAGTGATACACCCCCATCTCTACAAAAATAAAAATGAAAAAAGCAAGGGGAGGAATCATGTGTTTTCTGGGTCTGGGTGGAGAAATTTTCAAAACCAGAGTGCCACCTTCCTATTTGTTTTTTTATGTTATTTTTTCCCATCATTGTCATGTTGGTTGTTGACTGTTACGGTGTTAGTGGGACTGTCATTTAACATGGAAATTAGATTATAATGAAGTTAGAGGTCAAATGAGCTGCCATCTTGGATTCCATCAGTCTTAGCTGGTTTGATCACCAGGGAGAAGTTTGGACCTCAGGCATCCTGCTTCCTAAAGATAAACAGTGTTAAGGCAGGGTAGATATTCACGGAGGTCATGTGGGTATTGCACTGGATGACATCTTGGCTTCAGCCCTGATCTGTTCAGAGCCCTCAGCACGGTACTGGAGGAGAGGCCTTGGGCCGCATCGTGGCATATTGTGGCTTTGGGGAGAAAGAAAAGCAGATAGTGCAATGGAACGAGCGTGGACTTGAGAGTCAGACTTGCCTTCAACTCCTAGCTCTACCACTTACCACCTAGGTGACCTCAAGCCACTTTCTCAGCCTTTCTGAGACTCTGTATCCTCATGTGTATCCTAGAGTTTGTCTGATAGGGCTATAGTGAGAATTAATTGAATTAAGTGTAGTGAGAATTAAGCCAGGTCTGGAGAGGCCTGGCTACTGGTGAGTGAGGTAACTGAGATCAGGTATGGAGAGGACTGGCTCCTGATGAGTGAGTTAATTGAGATGAGGTATGGAGGGACCTGTCTCCTGGTGACTGAGTTAATTGAAATGAGGTGTGGAGGGACCTGGCTCCTGGTGAGTGAGTTAATTGAGATCCATTATGGAGGGACCTGGCTCCTGGCGAGTGAGTTAATTGAGACCCGGTGTGGAGGGACTTGGCTCCTGGTGAGTGAGTGAATTGAGATGAGGTATGGAGGGACCTGTCTCCTGGTGAGTGAGTGAATTGAGATGAGGTATGGAGGGACCTGGCTCCTGGTGAGTGAGTGAATTGAGATCAGGTTTGGAGGGACTTGGCTCCTGGTGAGTGAGTTAATTGAGATGAGGTATGGAGGGACCTGGCTCCTGGTGAGTGAGTTAATTGAGATGAGGTGTGGAGGGACCTGGCGCCTGGTGAGTGAGTGAATTGAGACCCGGTGTGGAGGGACCTGGCTCCTGGTGAGTGAGTTAATTGAGATGATGTATGGAGGGACCTGTCTCCTGGTGAGTGAGTTAATTGAGATGAGGTGTGGAGGGACCTGGCTCCTGGTGAGTGAGTTAATTGAGATGAGGTATGGAGGGACCTGGCTCCTGGCGAGTGAGTGAATTGAGACCCGGTGTGGAGGGACCTGGCTCCTGGTGAGTGAGTTAATTGAGATGAGGTGTGGAGGGACCTGGCTGCTGGTGAGTGAGGTATGGAGGGACCTGGCTCCTGGTGAGTGAGTTAATTGAGGTCAGGTATGGAGGGACCTGGCTCCTGGTGAGTGAGTTAATTGAGATCAGGTATGGAGGGACCTGGCTCCTGGTGAGTCTCCTGGAGGCAGCTGCTATCTGGGAACACAGGCACAGGTGGGAACAGACCTTCACTTCCTGCTCACTTAGGTTCAGCGAGTTCTCCAAACCAGCCTCCCAGGAATGCCATTCACCATGGCTGTGAGGAGAATAAAGAAGAGAGCCTGACTCCTCTCCTGAGGCCCCTTCCCCACCCTGAGCCAGCAGGATCCACGGAGCAGAGGTCATCTGTCCCCAGCTTGGCCCACTGAGGCCAGCATGGCTGGGCCCAGGATGCTTGTCTCTCAGCTCCCATCCTGTGTACTTCCACATTGGTTTAACCAGAGGAAAACCGAAATCTACAATTGTCATAAACACATTTAAATGTGCGTAGAATCAGCCATACAAATTGTGAAACATACATTTGGCTCATGGTATTATTCACTGTTTTGTGGTGGTTAGAGTGACTATAGCAAACATTTCTTGAAAGTAGAAAATAAGAACCCAGCACCCCTTGAGCTAAGTAATGTGCCCTCTGTCCTCAATATTCCTTCCTGGGCTCCACATTACTGCCCTTAAGTCTGGAAATATTCTGGTCTGAGCCCCGTAGTCCAGGCCTCATGTTCAGGCTTTCTGTCCCCAGTGATGAGAGGAGAGACGGCAGACCTGTCTCCGGTGAGCTCAGATGGGCCTCCCGGAGTCTCCTGGGGTGCACAGGATTTCAAAGATCCAGGAGGCGCTGCCAGGGGCTGTGGAGTCTGATGAACCTCTCACCTTCCCTCCCACACCTGCCGTTTTCCTGTTTCTGTGGATGCTTTTGCTGTCCTTGGCTTCCTGGACTCCAGACCTCAGGGTCATCTTTTGCTTCTCTCTGCAAGGTGCCAAGTCTCTCTAGTTTTTTGTTTGTTTGTTTTGTTATTGAGACGGAGTCTCACTCTATTGCCCAGGCTGGAGTGCAGTGGTGCGATCTCAGCTCACTGCAACTTCCGACTCCCTGGTTCAAGCAAATTCTCCTGCCTCAGCCTCTGGAGTAGCTGGGATTACAGGCGCCCGCCACCACGCCTGGCTATTTTTTTTTTTTTTTTTAGTAGAGATAGGGTTTCACCATGTTGGCCAGGCTGGTCTCGATCTCCTGACCTCATGATCCACCCGCCTTGCCCTCCCAAAGTGCTGGGATTACAGGAGTGAGCCACTGTGCCCGGCCGTCTCTCTAGTTTTACTTTGCAATGTCGTTCATATCCATCCCCTTTCTAGTGCCACTGCTGAAGTCCTAAGTCACTGCCTCCTAACTGGTCCTCCTACCCTAACTCCTCCCAGACAGGCTTCCTGCCCTAACTCCTCTCTGACCAGTCCTCCTGCCCTGACTTCTCCCTGACCGGTCCTCCTGCCCTAACTCCTCCCTGACCGATACTGCTGCCCTAACTCCTCTCTGACCAGTCCTCCTGCCCTAACTCCTCCCTGACCAGTCCTCCTGCCCTAACTCCTCCCTGACCCGTCCTCCAGCCCTAACTCCTCCCTGACCTGTCCTCCTGCCCTAACTCCTCCCTGACCAGTCCTCCAGCCCTAACTCCTCCCTGACCAGTCCTCCAGCCCTAACTCCTCCCTGACCCGTCCTCCTGCCCTAAGTCTCCTCCCTGACCAGTCCTCCTGCCCTAAGTCTCCTCCCTGACCCGTCCTCCAGCCCTAAGTCTCCTCCCTGACCTGTCCTCCTGCCCTAAGTCTCCTCCCTGACCAGTCCTCCTGCCCTAAGTCTCCTCCCTGACCAGTCCTCCTGCCCTAAGTCTCCTCCCTGACCGGTCCTCCTGCCCTAAGTCTCCTCCCTGACCGGTCCTCCTACCCTAAGTCTCCTCCCTGACCGGTCCTCCTGCCCTAAGTCTCCTCCCTGACCAGTCCTCCTGCCCTAAGTCTCCTCCCTGACCAGTCCTCCTGCCCTAAGTCTCCTCCCTGACCAGTCCTCCTACCCTAAGTCTCCTCCCTGACCCGTCCTCCAGCCCTAACTCCTCCCTGACCAGTCCTCCTGCCCTAAGTCTCCTCCCTGACTGGTCCTCCTGCCCTAAGTCTCCTCCCTGACTGGTCCTCCTGCCCTAACTCCTCCCTGACTGGCCTCCATCCAAGCAGAGCTTGAGTATTGCTGGTTCCCTGCTCAAACCCACCACTGGTTGCTGGTTCCCTGCTCAAACCCACCACTGGCACTGGCTTCCCATCACATACAGAATAAAGGCTAAATGTCTACGCTTGGCACAGAAAGTCATCAACAGGCCCCAGAGCACGTTTCTGGTGTTATCTTCTGCTAATGCCCTGCCCTCACTCCTATGCTGCAGCTGAATGGAACGAGCCATTATCCCCTCAGGAACGCTGGCTTCTCAGTAAACGATTATAGCCCAGAAGCTCTGTCATCACAGAACCTAGCTATTGGCTAATGGGTCAGCTTTGGCTTCATTTCTCTGAATAATTTATTTCAAAACATAATCCCAAGGAACAAGGTTAGGAAAAGGGGAGGGTGACAGGGACAGAGGGAGAGCCTGTGCAAAGACGTGTTATCCAGTTGGCCCCTGCTGTGGCTGGCTGGTTGCTCAATCCTGTAAGATCTTCTAAGAAGCTTTATGAGATGTAGTGAGAACCATCTGTCCTGGGGATGAGTCTGTCTGTCGGCTTCCATTCCTCATGGGTTATGAGTTGCTCCACAGGATTCTGGATGTATACAGATGCTCTTCATCTTAGGAAGGGGTTACGTCCCAATAAACACGTGGTAAGTCAAAAATACTGTAAGTCAGAAACACATTTAATACCCTGATAAGCCCATCATAAAGTCAAACAATTTTAAATCCAATCATTGTAAGCCAGGACCATCTGTATACCCAAGACATATACAAGGATGTTCATAGCAGCTTTATTCAAAATAGTGAAAAACAAAACAATCCAAATGCACAGCAATTGGAAAACAGACAAATAAATTGTGGTATATTTATACAGTGGAATACTATGCAACAACAAAAAAGGATGAAGCATAATACTACACACAGCGTGAGTGAGTCTCACAGACACAGTGTTAACAGAGAGAATCCAGACACAAAAGAGCCTATCTATGCATGATTCCATTTATATGAAGTTCAAAGACATGCAGAGCTAATCTATGGTGATAGAGATAAGAATGGTGGTTACACTGAAATGGGAGGATCGCTCAAACCCAGGAGGCGGAGGCTGCAGTGAACCATGATGGAGCTGCACTCCAGCTTTGGAGACAGAGCGAGACCCTGTCTCTAAAAAAAAAAAAAAAATAAAAAATAAAAAATAAAAAAAAATGATTGTTCCATTCTGTGGTGGCAAGTGGGGGCTTGACTGGAAGGGAACACAAGGGCACCTGTTGAGGTGCTGAGCACGTTCTGTATCTTGACCTGAGTGTCGGATACATCCTGGGGATACATACGTACATAAAAATTCATCAGGGTATACGCTACTTAAGCTGGGCGTAGTTTACAGTATGTAGGTTACAACATAAAAAAGAAGTGAATGAACCAAAGAATACTGGGCTCCCTGGCGTTTCCTCTTCTGCAACCCAAGGAAATAAGCCTCGGTGTGGAGAGGGCCTGTCCTCAGGGCCTGGCAAATGTAGGCGATTCTTACCACGTCTCCTTCGGTAAGCCCACCTGGCAAGTTCTCATCCACATAATCTGTGCATGCTCAACATTTGAAACCAGTGGGGACCCATTTGGACCCCAAGAGTTGGTATTAGAGATCATTTTAAAGTGAAAACTGGCCAGGCACGATGGCTTACGCCTGTAATCCCAGCACTTTGGGAAGCTGAGGTGGGCGGATCACATGAGGTCAGGAGTTCGAGACCAACTTGGCCAACATGGTGAAACCCTGTTGACTCAGGATGACTCAGATTAGAGCAGGTGACTGGGGGTGACTCAGGATGGAGCAGGTGATAGAGGCTAGGAGGGGGTTGTTTACTGAAACTAGGGGCAAGGAGATGAAGAAAACGAGGAAGTTAAACTTTAAAATGAAGAGCTGAACATACTGATACATTGATTCTTTGGAGAGGATCTCAGAACTCATTGTACTTAACAATTTACAGGCTAAAACCTTTGAAGAAGAATTTATTATATCCTACAAACCTGGGAGGCAGAGGTTGCAGTGAGCCAAGATTGGGCCATCGCACTCCAGCCTGGGCAATAAGAATGAAACTCTGTCTCAAAAAAAACAAAAGTTGGCCAGGGCTGGGCGTGGTGGCTCACACCTGTAATCCCAGCACTTTGGGGGGCTAAAGCAGGTGGATCACCTGAGGTCAGAAGTACGAGACCATCATGGCTAATATGGTGAAACCCCATCTCTACTAAAAATACGAAAAAAGAAAAAAAAAATTAGCCAAGCACGGTGGTGCACACCTGTTATCCCAGCTGCTTAGGAAGCTGAGGCAGGAGAATTGCCTGATCCCAGAGGCAGAGGTTGCAGTGAACTGGGATTGTGCCACTGCACTCCAGCCCAGGCGACAGAGCAAGATTCTGTCTCAAAAATAAATACATAAATAAAGTTTTAGAGCAGGAATGAAAGGAAGTAAAGTACACTTGGAAGAGCTGTGTTGGCAACTGGAGAGATCCGAGTGCCTCATCTGACCCTTGACTTGGGATTAATACATTGGCATGAGATGTGAGCAGTGACTCAAAGTTGCTCAGAAAAAAATCTTCCCCCGCTATTTAGTACTGCAGCTGGCACCTGCCCTCCCCACACACTGCAGCTGGCACCTGCCCTCCCCACGCACTGCAGCTGGCACCTGCCCTCCCCACACCAGTATTTGGTACTGCAGCTGGCACCTGCCCTCCCCTCTGCTATTTAGTACTGCAGCTGGCACCTGCCCTCCGCACAGCAGTATTTAGTACTGCAGCTGGCACCTGCCCTCCCCACACCAGTATTTAGTACTGCAGTTGGTACCTGCCCTCCCCTCTGCTATTTAGTACTGCAGCTGGCACCTGCCCTCCCCACGTCAGTGTTCAGGATTCTTTCTCCCTGTTTTTCTTTTTTTTCCATAGTTTTCACCTTTCTATAATTCACTTATTTGTTATGTTTATTGTTTTGTGAAAGGAAAATAAATCTTGGGCCCCCAAAGTCACTAAGCTAAAGGGGAAAGTCAAGCCGGGAATGGCTTAGGGCCGACCTGCCCCCCATTCTATTCAAAATCACCCCCTGCTCACTGAGATAGATGCATATCTGATTGCCTTCTTTGGAAAGGCCCATCAGAAACTCAAAAGAATGCGACCTTTGTCTCTCACCCACCTGTGACCTGGAAGCTTTCTCCTGGCTGCGAGTTGTCCCACGTTTGCTTGGCGTTGCCCGGCCTTTTCCAGACTGAACCAATGTTCATCTTACATGTGTTGATTGATGTCTCATGTCTCCCTAAAACGTATGACCACCTTGGCACATGTCGTCAGGACATCCTGAGGCTGTGTCACGGGTGTGCATCTTCAACCTTGGAACAATAAACTTTCTAAATTAACTGAGACCTGTCTCAGATTTGGGGGGTTCACATTTTGGTAACCATGGAGGGATTCTGAGTTGAGGTGCCCCTGACCTTTGACAGATCTATTGGTGCTTGGTAGCAGCATGAGCTAACCTTATGGCTCAAACCAACAGGACAATTTGCTGAGGTCTGGGAGCACCCCCTCCAGAGAGTCCCTGATCTCTCAAAACTTGGTCGTGATCTAAAGTTTATTTGATGTACAACTCCCCCTCCCCTTCTTTTGGAGTTTTATTTGCTTCCAAGAAGGAAGGCAAGATTTCCTGGGTCCGTGATGATGGAAGGCTGACAACTCTTTTATGGAGTTTGAGCTTGCTCCCAGCAGGGAAGACAAGTTCGAGTTTTTTTCCTGCTTCAAGGATGGTAGAGAGCAGTCTTCAGCCTGAGACCCATCCCTAGGTAAGTAGCTGAACTGAGGTTTTGTCTTGGCTGAAGGTTAACAACCAGCTGGTCTGAATTTCTTCTTCCCATTAGAGCAGTCTGTGTTCATATCATTTGACTTCTGTTGTTGTTGTTTTTTCTGGTCTTTCTCTCATCAGATTTGACCAACTCTACCTGACTTGGTCAAATCCAAGTGAGAATTCCAAATTATGGGTAACAAAGCCTCTCTAATTTGGCTAAAATTCCTTGCAGCTGCAAAAGAGGAAAAAACTAAACGAAAAAAACCAACAAATCACGTGCTTGGTTTCTGTGTTTGCTTTCTGTCTTAAAAAACAAACAAACAAAAACAACAAATGCTCTTTCACTTACTTTTCTTCCTCCCTATACCTCCTCCTGCCTTTGCCATCTGCGGGACCAAAAAAATCTAGAGAAGGCTTCCAATGACTCGAGCCCCTTTAAAGGATCCGGAACAAAGGGGCCACTCACCCCTTCCAGGGTGCTCTGTTTTCTTTGTGGAGTTTCAAGAGTGATGGGCGGATTCTTCTTAGGTCTAAAGCTCTGCTGTCTTCCTGTACGGCATGACCTGACCTCTTTGGCTTTGGGGGAACCAGAGATGACCCTGCACTGTGAGAGGATTTGACCTTGGCGTGTGTAATGGCAGACGAGAACTACAAAGAAGGGGTGGCTGAGCACAGTTTACAGGGAATGGTCTTGGCTGTTTTTTTTTTTTTTTTTTCTCTTCTAGGAAGCTGTGATTTAAGGATCCTAATTCTAGTTCAGAGATGCATCCTAAAGGGTCTTCTCTATTGCTTTTTCTCCCAAAATGAATCTCAGTTTGGGTTGTCTATGTATTTGCATGAGGAACTGAACTGTTGTTGTCATAGGTAAATGAGAGATTGAGTTTTCTCAGCTCCAAAGAGAAAGGGCGTTTGCTCCTCCCAGCCGAGTACTCCATAGGGTTCATGGCGCCTCTACTTGCCAGAGTTTACGTAAAGTGGAAGTAATATGGTCTTTCTGCACATTTACATTAAAAAAAAAAGGAGCCCTGAGGTTGACCTGCAAACTGTAGAGTTCCTGAGTCCTCTTTTTTCTCTAGTTTCTTCTCTGCCTGCTTTAAATTTGCTGTTATTTTCCTATTAAGATAAAAAACACTGTTTGGATCAGATAGTTTTTCTGTTTGTAAACTGGTGAATTTGTATTTATTTCATGGCTAAATTTCTTTTTTTCTTTTCTTTCTCTTTTTTTTTTCTTTTTTTTTTGAGGCAGAGTTTCACTCTTGTTGCCCAGGCTGGAGTGCAATGGCGTGATCTTGGGTCACCACAGTCTCCGCTTCCCTGGTTCAAGTGATTCTCTTGCCTCAGCCTCCCGAGTAGCTGGGATTACAGGCATGCACCACCACGCCTGGCTAATTTTTTGTATTTTTAGTAGAGATGGGGTTTCTCCATGTTCGTCAGGCTGGTCTCCAACTCCTGACCTCAGGTGATCTGCCCGCCTCGGCCTCCCAAGGTGCTGGGATTACAGGCGTGAGCCACCGCGCCCAGCTTTCATGGCTAAATTTCTGAAGTAAAAGCTATAGGATCTTTGTGTGTGTGTATATATTTAAAAGGCCTTTATAATTTCTATAATTTTATGTTTAATTGGCAATTAAATCTGTTTTAATTTCCCTCCAGCACACCAGACTTTTTCTCTCCATACGTTATGATGTAAATTTTGCTATTCGATTTTCACCTCAGTTTCCTTAAAATGCAAATTCAAGGCTATTTAGCTGACAACCGCTTAGAGTAGTAAAACAGGTTATCAAGAATTCGAAGGTGTGGCTGGGCACGGTGGCTCACGTCTGTAATCCTAGCATTTGGGAGGCTGAGCCGCAAAGATCTCTTGAGGTCAGGAGTTCAAAACCATCTTGGCCAACATGTTGAAACCCCGTCTCTACTAAAAATACAAAAAAAATTAGCCAGGTGTGGTGGCAGGTGCCTATAATCCCAGCTACTCAGGAAGCTGAGGCAGGAGAATCACTTGAAGCCAGGAGGCAGAGGTTGCAGTGAGTCGAGATCAAGCCATTGCACTCCAGCCTGGGCAACAGAGTGAGACTCTGTCTCAAAAAAAAAAAAAAAAAGTAAAAAAGAATTTGAAGGTGTAAGAAAAAAGCTCTTTATGAATCTATAAGATGAACTTCTTTCAGCATACCTAATACATCTGTGTATTTATGTGTTGTTGTGTACACAGTGTTTTGCTACTGAAAATATATAAAAGAGCTCTAATTAATTGGCTTAAGAAAATAAAAGCACTTGGCTGGGTGCAGTGGCTCATGCCTGTACTCCCAGCACTTTGGGAGGCTGAGGTAGGTAGATCACCTGAGGTCAGGAGTTTGAGACTAGCCTGGCCAACATGGTGAAACCCCATCTCTACTAAAAATACAAAAATTAGCCGGACGTGGTGGTGCGCGCCTATAATCCCAGCTACTCCAGAGGCTGAGGCAGGAGAATTGTTGGATCCCGGGAGGAAGAGGTTTCATTGAGCTGAGATCTCATTACTGTACACTCCAGCCTGGGTGACAGAGCAAGACTCCATCTCAAAAAAAAAAAAAAAAGCTAGTGATTCCATATCTTCAAATCAAATTTCAGTGGAGTGTTTACCGGGCAAGGAAGGCAGGGGGGTCAGCTTGCTGACAGCCTCAACCTGCCAGCCCTCAGCCTGCACATTTGTGATCACCTGGTCACACACCTGGGCAGGAGGCTGCCCCTCCTCCCTGGTTTGAGGAAGCAGGAAAAGGTACCCGCGAGAGACAGCCAGCAGTTCTGTGGAGCAGCGGTGGCCGGCTAGGATGGGCTGTCTCTGGGGTCTGGCTCTGCCCCTTTTCTTCTTCTGCTGGGAGGTTGGGGTCTCTGGGAGCTCTGCAGGTAAGGAGGCCTAGAAGGGCCTGGTGGGCCTCTCCCCTAGTAGGGCTCTGGGAGTGAATTTCAGTATGAGCCACCCTTCATGGGCAAGGGCAGGCTCTCTCGGGTTGATTATAATGAACCACAGTGCTACTTGTGAAGTGCTATTATTGTTGATAAAGAGTGTGCAAATGACAGTGTGAGTGAGTGTAAGCGTGCATGGCGCTGCAGTACACACTAATCAACCATGACGATGTGTGTGAGTGTAAGCGTGCCTGGCGCTGCAGTACACACTAATCAAACATGACGCTGCCATCGTAAGGGGTGGCTGAGAGTTTCTGTTTATGAACGTGGGACAGTAAGTGGGGCACGGAGCGGGGGTGCAGGGAGGTGCCAGCTGGTGATCATTGTGCAGAAAGCTGAAGAATGTGGCTTAACAAGATTCTGACTCCTCCCAGTTTATTACCTAGCATGGATTTCCTTCAAAATACAGATTTCGTGTGAAAAGTCCAACTGCCACAAACTGCTTGGGAAGGGTGGATGCTGACAGGCAGGGCTTTTGTGAAAGACGGGAATGAACCCTGACCTGTCGCTAATAGGAGTTGTGCCAAACTCATCACATACATTAAAAAATAGAAAAGGATTTATTTTTTTTTTAGAGCAGTTCTATGCTCCCTCTAAACCTCGAGTGGAGAGGCCGGGCGTGGTGGCTCACACCTGTAATCCCAGCATTTTGGGAGGCTGAGGTGGGTGGATCACCTGAGGTCAGGAGTTCGAGACCAGCCTGACCAACATGGAGAAACCCCGTCTCTACTAAAAATACAAAATTAGCCGGGGGTGGTAGCAGGTGCCTGTAATCCCAGCTACTCGGGAGGCTGAGGCAGGAGAATTGCTTGAACCTGGGAGGTGGAGTTTGCAGTGAGCTGAGATCGCACCGTTGCGCTCTGGCCTGGGCAACAAAAGTGAAACTGTGTTTCAAAAAAAAAAAAAAGCTGCAGTGGAGAGTCTGGAGTTCCCATCCCCACCACTCACAGCCTCCCCCATCATCAGCGTCCCCCACCAGAGTGGCACATTTGATAGGACTGAGGAACCTACTTTGATGCATCATTATCATACATTGTATTTTTAATCCTCACAACGGCCCTGCAAGATCGGCCCTGTTCTTACCACCCCCCACCTCCACTGCTTTAAGGATGAGGCCACTGTGCTTCTGGGCATCCAGTAACAACTCCTCGGAGCCAGAATCTGACTCCTCACAGGCCTGAGCACTGCACCCCGTGGCCTCCTGCCTGTGCTCACCGTGGCCTGGTCTGCGCTGCACGTGTCCCGTTAGCTCCACCTTACAGGTGCGGAAATGCAGGCTTGGAGCTGAGAGACTTGGCCAGGGTCACAGGGCAGAGAGCAGATTCTCCAACTCAGGGTCCCAAGTCCACACGCTTTCCTCTCCACCAGATTTGAAGATTGTACCAGGAGAGCCGCAGTGTTCCAGAGCTACTGAGGGGGCTGGGCTGGGATTTGCTGTATTCGAGAAGACCCCCTTGGACCCGAGAGGCTGTGGGCTTGGGGAGCATGAGGAGGTTTCACAGCAGAAAGGACACCCCGGGGCTCCTGGATAAGCCAGAAAATGTGCCAGGGGAAGTCGGGCTCCAAGGGCACCACTCTGGGCTTCCAGCTGTGTGGGCTGGACCAAGAAGGCTCAGAGAAATGATCTCAGGCTTGAAGTGGGGAGAAGAAACTGTATTATGAAGGCAGACGAACAGTTCCTGCAAAGGTGAGATTTGTGTGTGCAGCTGGGCCGCACTGGACCAGGGATGAGAGTGGGTGCCCGGGACTCGCCTATACTGCCTGGGGGTGCAGCCCGCACTCCTCACTATAGTCAAATCGACTATGCGTGCTTTCCAGGGGCCCGGGAGAGGACTCCATGGGGAGGGATGCTTACCTTGTGGGCTTTGGAATATAAGCCCTTTCATCTTCTCCGCTGGTCCTCACCACGTTGGCAAGGCAGGTATTGTGACCCTGTTTTCTCAGGTGAGGACATGGAGGCTGGGAGGGGTCTAGAGACTGGCCTGGCTAGTAGGAGGCTGAGTCAGGATTTGAACCAGCAGATCATCTGACCCCAGAGCCGGTCGTGGGCGGCACAGCGGGAGCTGCAACCGAGGCTCTTGACTCCTGCCTCGTCATTCCCTGAGGTCCACAGGACAACCAGCTGGGGACCTGGAGCCCCATCCTGACGTCCTGGGGAGAGGTGCTAGGCCTCTTTTGGGTCTATGAGCTACTTTTGGGCCAGTGGAGCCGGGTAAAGACCATCTCAAACCCTGTGCCAGGGGAGGTCAGACTCCAAGAGCGCCACCTTTGGGCTTCCAGCTGTGTGGGCTGCACCAAGAAGGCTCAGAGAATTAGGGGGTTCGTATTTGATCCTTTTCCTTCCAAGACTGGGATTACCAGATAAAACACAGGGCATCCAGTTACATTTGAATTTCAGGTAACAATTTTTTTTTAAGTGTAAGTACGTAGCCAATATTGCATGAGAAATACTCATGCTAAAAAGTTATTCGTCATTTATCTGAACTGCGAGTTCAAATTTAACCGAGTACCCTGTATTTTTATTTGCTAAATCTAGAAACCCTCTCCAAGAGGCTCCTTGGCCCACTCACAGGGAGAGCCCGATCTCCCTCTAGACAGGGGAGGCCCCCTTTCTCAGGCCAGAAAAGATCTTGTAGTAAACTACTCAAGAGGCTGAGGCAGGAGGATCGCTTGAGCCCAGGAATTCAAGACCTGCCTGGGCAACAGAGCAAGACCCTGTCTCTAGGGAAGATATCCTACCGTAGCCTCCCTCGGGGACTCCCATTCCTCCCACCTCAGGGCCAGTCAAGGGAACAGGCCTCTGCTCTGGGCAGAAGTGCCGGCAGCCGCTCTCTGAAAAGCTAGGTGTTGCCTCAGGGGCTCCCGGTGTCCTGTGGAAAATGCCTGGCCACGGTTTCCATGGTTCCCAGGCTCCAACCCTGCAGTTCTCGGCCCTCATTCAGGAGGGGCCTCGGCAGGGTGGGGGGTGCCGTCTTTCCCTTGCCGGAGCCCCAAGGACTCTGCCGGCTCCCTCGCTTTGGCAGCAGCACTGCCCACCCTGTCTCTGGAGGTTCCCCCGCCTCAATCCACCCAGCTACCCCGAAAGGCACAATCATAGGCCTTTCTCGTCTTTTAAGGGTTTTTACTTCCATGGGGAACTATGTGTTGGATGAGAAAAGTACCCGGGGAAGGCGACAGAGGTTCAGAAAGCTCTGCGAGTCCTGGACGCTGGTCTGCCTTCTTGGCTCACCCTGGAAGGTGGACGCTGGCCCCACACATCCCCTCTTAAAGACGCAGGCCGATAGCCAGCAGATCCTGGGGCTTGCTGGCCCCAAGTGAGTTGTCAGGGTTTCAGAGGACGCCAGTCATGGCAACCCCAGCTCCATGGCTGCCACACAGGCCTGGGCTTCCCAGGACTGCCTCCTTCTTGTTCGCTTATGTAGATGAAAAATGAGGTAACGGCACTCCCCTGCCCCACCCTCCTCCCAGAAGTGCCCAGGGTGTAAATGCAATAGCTTGTGTGAAGTCCACTGGAACCCAGGCTCACCAAGTCAGTCTTAACCAACACAGGCCCCAGCACCCGCAGAGCAGACACTGCGATGACAACGGACGACACAGAAGTGCCCGCTATGACTCTAGCACCGGGCCACGCCGCTCTGGAAACTCAAACGCTGAGCGCTGAGACCTCTTCTAGGGCCTCAACCCCAGCCGGCCCCATTCCAGAAGCAGAGACCAGGGGAGCCAAGAGAATTTCCCCTGCAAGAGAGACCAGGAGTTTCACAAAAACATCTCCCAACTTCATGGTGCTGATCGCCACCTCCGTGGAGACATCAGCCGCCAGTGGCAGCCCCGAGGGAGCTGGAATGACCACAGTTCAGACCATCACAGGCAGTGATCCCGAGGAAGCCATCTTTGACACCCTTTGCACCGATGACAGCTCTGAAGAGGCAAAGACACTCACAATGGACATATTGACATTGGCTCACACCTCCACAGAAGCTAAGGGCCTGTCCTCAGAGAGCAGTGCCTCTTCCGACGGCCCCCATCCAGTCATCACCCCGTCACGGGCCTCAGAGAGCAGCGCCTCTTCCGACGGCCCCCATCCAGTCATCACCCCGTCACGGGCCTCAGAGAGCAGCGCCTCTTCCGACGGCCCCCATCCAGTCATCACCCCGTCATGGTCCCCGGGATCTGATGTCACTCTCCTCGCTGAAGCCCTGGTGACTGTCACAAACATCGAGGTTATTAATTGCAGCATCACAGAAATAGAAACAACAACTTCCAGCATCCCTGGGGCCTCAGACATAGATCTCATCCCCACGGAAGGGGTGAAGGCCTCGTCCACCTCCGATCCACCAGCTCTGCCTGACTCCACTGAAGCAAAACCACACATCACTGAGGTCACAGCCTCTGCCGAGACCCTGTCCACAGCCGGCACCACAGAGTCAGCTGCACCTCATGCCACGGTTGGGACCCCACTCCCCACTAACAGCGCCACAGAAAGAGAAGTGACAGCACCCGGGGCCACGACCCTCAGTGGAGCTCTGGTCACAGTTAGCAGGAATCCCCTGGAAGAAACCTCAGCCCTCTCTGTTGAGACACCAAGTTACGTCAAAGTCTCAGGAGCAGCTCCGGTCTCCATAGAGGCTGGGTCAGCAGTGGGCAAAACAACTTCCTTTGCTGGGAGCTCTGCTTCCTCCTACAGCCCCTCGGAAGCCGCCCTCAAGAACTTCACCCCTTCAGAGACACCGACCATGGACATCGCAACCAAGGGGCCCTTCCCCACCAGCAGGGACCCTCTTCCTTCTGTCCCTCCGACTACAACCAACAGCAGCCGAGGGACGAACAGCACCTTAGCCAAGATCACAACCTCAGCGAAGACCACGATGAAGCCCCCAACAGCCACGCCCACGACTGCCCGGACGAGGCCGACCACAGACGTGAGTGCAGGTAAGTGGCTCCTGCTGGTGATCTTCGGGGATTTGGGATGCGGAGTTTCCAGGACGTCTCCGCACTTGAGGAGTGGAGAGGAGGGAAGGATCTGGAGCCTACTCAGAGCCTGCTCCTGCTGTTGCCTCTTCGTGATCTTCTAGTGGTTCTTGGCGAAATCAGGAAAAGGCAGATGGAGGGTTGTGTATGGAAAGGGGTGGGGATGGAAGTCCGGAGAAATGGTTTGCGGTCTCGGCTCTGCCTGTAACAACCCGAGTGACCTTGGGCAAGTCCCTGTCCCTCTCTGGGCCTCAGTTTCTCCACCTGTATTTGGAGAGGGTTGGAATGGGCACTGAAGTCCTGTCCAGCTCTGACCTTCTGTGAAGTGCACTGTTGAGCAGCTCTGGAAGCTTCTATTCCAGCCATAGCCACACAGAGGAGCAGCAGGCAGGCATCAGGCCCAAGCTGCTGCTCTCTGACAGGCTGGGACCCCATGAAAGTGGGGCCTGCTGGATGCATTTCCTGGGATTTATGCCATAGATAGTGACTTAAAATAAATTAATACAGGCCTGGAGCGGTGGCTTATGCCTGTAATCCCAGCACTTTGGGAGGCAGAGGCCGGCGGATCACCTGAGGTCAGGAGTTCGAGACCAGGCTGACCAACATGGTGAAACCCCATCTCTACTAAAAATATGAAAATTAGCTGGGCGCAGTGGTGGGCGCCTGTAATCCCAGCTACTTGGGAGACTGAGGCAGGAGAATCACTTGAACCCGGGAGGTGGAGGTTACAGTGAGCTGAGACGGAGTGAAACTCCGTCTCAAAAAAAAAAGGTAAGATAAAATAAGCAAATACAGCGAAGGCTTGGGAGTTTAAAGCTACATCTCTGAGGCAACAGGGACTTCTCAGGGGAGAAGTTCATTGTCAGAGGCTGCTTGGTCAGTCCAGCTTCTGGTCAGCCTGTAGCCTCCACCTCCACTTCCTGTCACTCTGCCCTTGGGCCTCATCTCTGTGTATCCGCAGCTTGTTACCACCTTTCTGGGGGAGGTGGGAATACAAATATTAATCACAACCACTCAATACATAAAGATATTATTGAATATCTTTCATGTTATAGGCAGGGGTGATATAAACATGTTTCACACCCAGTAAGCACTGGCCCCAGCAGAACGTTCTCTCCGGTGCCAGGCAGTGTGCCACCAGCTTTGCATATGTTATCTGATGCCAGGCAGTGTGCCACCGGCTTTGTATATGTTATCTGATGCCAGGCAGTGTGCCACCGGCTTTGCATATGTTATCTGATGCCAGGCAGTATACCACCAGCTTTGCATATGTTATCTGATGCCAGGCAGTGTACCACCAGCTTTGCATATGTTATCTGATGCCAGGCAGTGTGCCACCAGCTTTGCATATGTTATGATGCCAGGCAGTGTGCCACCAGCTTTGCATATGTTATCTCCTCTATTTAACCTTCAAAACAGCCTTAGGAGGTGGGTAACACGACCCCATCTGACAGGGTTGAAGATGGTAGCTAAACTGCTCTGGAAAGTGAAGGGGTGGCCTGCCCCTCCACACCTGTGGGTATTTCTAGTCGGGTGGGATGAGAGACTGAGAAAAGAAATAAGGCACAGAGACAAAGTATAGAGAAACAACAGTGGGCCCAGGGGACCGGCGCTCAGCATACCAAGGACCTGCACCGGCACCAGTCTCTGAGTTTTCTCAGTTTTTATTGATTATTATTTTCATTATTTTAGCAAAAAGGAATGTAGTAGGAGAGCAGGGTGATAATAAGGAGAAGGTCAGCAAGAAACATGTGAGCAAAAGAATCTGTGTCATAATTAAGTTCAAGGGAAGATACTATGCCTGGATGTGCACGTAGGCCAGATTTATGTTTCTCTCCACCCAAACATCTCAGCAGAGTAAAGAATAATAAAGCAGCATTGCTGCAAACATGTCTCACCTCCCGCCACAGGGTGGTTTTTCTCCTGTCTCAGAATTGAACAAATGTACAATCGGGTTTTATACCGAGACATTCAGTTCCCAGGGGCAGGCAGGAGACAGTGGCCTTCCTCTATCTCAACTGCAAGAGACTTTCCTCTTTTACTAATCCACCTCAGCACAGACCCTTTACGGGTGTCAGCCTGGGGGACGGTCAGGTCTTTGTCATCCCACGAGGCCATATTTCAGACTATCACATGGGGAGAAAGCTTGGACAATACCCTGCTTTCAAGGGCAGAGGTCCCTGCGGCTTTCCACAGTGCATTGTGCCCCTGGTTTATTGAGACTAGAGAATGGCGATGACTTTTACCAAGTATACTGCTTGTAAACATTTTGTTAACAAGGCACGTCCTGCACAGCCCTAGATCCCTTAAACCTTGATTTTATACAACACATGTTTTTATGAGCTCAAGGTTGGGGCAAAGTTACAAATTAACAACATCTCAGCAAAGCTTGTTTAAAGTACAGGTCTTTTTCAAAATGGAGTCTCATGTCTTTCCTTTCTACAGAGACACAGTGACAGTCTGATCGCTCCTTCTTTTCCCTGGAAAGAAAAATACTTTATTATTTGTTGATTAGATAAGACATTCATATGATTTGAAATGGAAAGGTACGAAAAGGTTCACCATAAAATGCCTTTCTCCCCTGGCTGTGCCCCCACCCAGTTCTCTCCACACATGTAACCCGTGAGATTGTCTCTTGTGTGTAATTTTCTGCACATGAAATGTACATACGGAAGCAAATATATGTGACTATTTCATCCTCCTCTTTTTTTTTTTTTTTTTTTTGAGACAGTTTCGCTCTTGTTGCCCAGGTTGGAGTGTAGTGCTGCGATCTCAGATCACCACAACCTCCGCCTCCCAGGTTCAGGCGATTCTCCTGCCTCAGCCTCCTGAGTAGCTGGGATTACAGGCACGCACCACCATGCCCGGCTCATTTTGTGTTTTTAGTAAAGACGGGATTTCTCCATGTTGGTCAGGCTGGTCTCAAACTCCCGATCTCAGGTGATCCACCTGCCTCTGCCTCCCAAAGTGCTGGGATGACAGGTGTGAGCCACTGCGCCCAGCCCTGATTTTCATCTTACTGTTCTCCATTTGCAGGTGAAAATGGAGGTTTCCTCCTCCTGCGGCTGAGTGTGGCTTCCCCGGAAGACCTCACTGACCCCAGAGTGGCAGAAAGGCTGATGCAGCAGGTGAGTGGGCACTTTCCGGGCCAGGGGAGTAGAGGAAGGGGCGAGGTTCGCAGGGGCTGCAGGGAAGACCCGCAGGACACAGAAGAGCAGCTACCGCACTTGGAAGGGAGTCTCGTTTCTTACGGAGAATTGGGAGCTGAATCTGAGGATCTCTGCCTGGCTTTGCTTCTGCCTGCCTTCTCCGAGTTCTTCATTTCCTTCTCTGCAATGTAAACATGTGACTCCTAGAGCCCCCAGTTTCTTCTGGTCCTTGGAAGCTTGGCCTTCTGGCCTCTGAGGCAAAGGTCAGTGATACTGATGGGAGGGTAGGTCGGACTCTTGGTTGCAAGTGGCAGAAACCCAAGTCAGGGCAGTTTATGCAAAAAAAAAAAAAAAAAAAAAAAAGGCAAGGTCTGAGAAACCTACAAGTGTCTCTTCAGCTTCAGTACGGCTGGATCCAGCAGCTCCAACGCCATCACAGGGACTTTCTCTTTCTTTCCCTGTCTTAGCTTTACTCCCTTCATTCTTCAGAGTCTTTCTTCATGTGTATGAAAAGGCAGCCTTGTTAGCCATAGATTCACAAGGGACTTCCATCTCCCCACATTTTCTTTTCTTTTTTCTTTTTCTTTCTTTCTTTTTGTTTTTTGAGACGAAGTCTCGCTCTGTCGCCCAGGCTGGAGTGCAGTGGTGCGATCTCAGCTCACTGCAAGCTCCGCCTCCTGGGTTCACGCCATTCTCCTGCCTCAGCCTCCCAAGTAGCTGGGACTACAGGCGCCCGCCACCACGCCCAACTAATTTTTATGTTTTTTTTTTTAGTAGAGACGGGGTTTCACCGTGTTAGCCAGAATAGTCTCAATCTCCTGACCTCGTGATCCACCCGTCTTGGCCTCCCAAAGTGCTGGGATTACAGACATGAGCCACCGCACCCGGCCCCCTCTCCCCAAATTTTCATGTCATCTGGGGAAGTGCAGGTCTCCATGGCCTGCAAGGGTCACCATGACTGACAACCCAGTCAGGATCCCATAGAGGAAGGATGAGCCCCAAGAAAATAGGGAGGCTAGGCAGAAAAAACCGCAGAGATGTATACTCTAGATGAGGACCATGATTGGGATGTATTTGTACAAGTTGGGAAAATTCTCCTAAAACCCACTGGATAGAACTTCCAATGGTAAAGTTCCGGGGTCAGGGTTTTGAGGATGGGGATGGTGTGGCTTGTTGGAGGTTAGACTGGGTCAGCTCAGTGCAGATGTCACGGGCCTGGCCTTACTGAGGGGTGGGTTGTTCTCCTAATGTGTGGTACAAAGTAGCAGATGGGGCATGATGGGAAGTGTCTAAGCTCTGCTCACAGATGTAACCGTGAAAACAGGCCCAGTGCACAGTCTAATGTGGATTGCCTCTTTGACAGTGCCCTTGCTAATACCTGAAGCTTGCATTCAGCACCTCTCACAGTCAATGGGACAGTGCCCTTGCTAATACCTGAAGCTTGCATTCAGCACCTCTCACAGTCAATGGGTGCCACACTGCTGAAAAGTGGCTCAGGCTTCCTGTCATCCCTTGCAAGGGTAAACCTGGCAGAGATGCTGGCTGGGGGTCTTATGCCAGGTGTAGAGTTCATAGCCAGGCTGGACAGGTGGAATGATTGCCCTTAGCAGAGGGAAGCAAGATATGTCCGTGGAGAGTGGGATCCTTTGTTGCAGGCGAAAGAAAACCTCTGTCTGTCGTAAGTAAAAGGGGGATTTGTTGGCAGCGTCCCAGAGTGCATAGAATCAAAGCAATGCCAGGACAGCAGGCTTGGAAAATAGGCAGGAGGGCCCCCAGGAGCTCTGGGGTCCAGACAGTGGGATCAGGCTGGCTGGGACACTGTCCCTCTTGCTGGTCAGTCACTATTGGATGCTGCCACAGCCAAGGGGCATCACGTGGCCTGCACACACATTCACATAGGTTCTCGCTGCCTTTTTGTCTCACTGGACTTTTTGCTCCAGAGCCAAAGTCCTGAGTAGGAACATTTGATAGGCCGAGCTTAGCCCTTGTACTCCCATGAGCCCACAGCCAGGTGCCAGGGGACGGGAAGAAGGGATGTCTGCGTCCTTGGAGTTCTCTTAGCAGCAGTGAGGCCGATCGTGACTCCCACTGTAAGGAGTTCCCTAAACATGGCACGGGGGCTCGACACCCGATGGCCAAATAAGTGACAAATGCCCCCGGCATGTGATAATCAAAGTAGCGAGTGTGAATCCTTGTGGGAGAGGGAAGCCAATTGCTTTTGTTTTGTTTTGTTTTCTGAGACTGAGTCTCACTCTGTCATCCAAGCTGGAGTGCAGTGGTGCGATCTTGGCTCACCACAACCTCCGCCTCCCAGGTTCAAGCCATTCTCCTGCCTCAACCTTCTGAGTAGCTGGGATTACAGGCCCGCACCACCATACCTGGCTAATTTTTGTATTTTTAGTAGAGATGGAGTTTCAGGTTTCAGCATCTTGGCCAGGCTAGTCTTGAACTCTTGACCTCATGATCCACCCACCTCAGCCTCCCAAAGTGCTGGGATTACAGGCGTTGAGTCATTGCGCCCGGCTGGGAAGCCAGTTTTCTTTTTCTTTTTCTTTTTCTTTTCTTTTCTTTTATTTTTCTTGAGACAGATTCTCGCTCTGTCGTCCAGGCTGGAGTGCAATGGCACGATCTCGGCTCACTGCAACCTCCGCCTCCCGGATTCAAGCAATTCTCCTGCCTCAACCTCCCTAGTAGCTGGGATTACAGGTGCACACTACCACTCCTGGCTAATTTTTGTATTTTTAGTAGAGATGGGGTTTCTCCATGTTGGTCAGGCTGGTCTCGAACTCCTGACCTCAGGTGACCCACCTGCCTCTGCTTCCCAAAGCACTGGGATTATTGGCGTGAGCCACCGCACCCGGCTGGGAAGCCAGTTTTGAATCTCAGGTCTAAGCCCCCAAACCAGAAATGATTTCAGGAATCGGAAAGAAACCGGGAGATCAGGAGCAGGTCAGGCAGCTGAGGCGCAGGCACCAGGCCACATGGGGTTGGGCATCAGTTCTCGTCCGGGGACAGCCCAACAGTTTGGGCTCAGGGATTAGACAATGAGCTTAGGAACCAGCTAGATCTGGGTGTGAATTCTAGTTCCCAACTGTGTGATCTTGGATAAGTTATTCTATGCGACTTTCATCCCTTATAAAATGAGGATCCTAACACCTGCTTTATAAGGTTGCTGTGAGGTTTAGATGACATAATGTGTGTGAGGCACCAGCCTGTGTCCAGCATGTAGGAGGCCCAGGAAGGGTTGCCGTCCTCCGCATGCACTCTGCCCCAGTGTCCCTTCCTGTCCTCTGCCTCTGGCGAGCTCATGGGCCAGATGGGCTGAAAGGACAGCTGGCTCTTTTGCTCTCCAGCTCCACCGGGAACTCCACGCCCACGCGCCTCACTTCCAGGTCTCCTTACTGCGTGTCAGGAGAGGCTAACGGACATCAGCTGCAGCCAGGCATGTCCCGTATGCCAAAAGAGGGTGCTGCCCCTAGCCTGGGCCCCCACCGACAGACTGCAGCTGCGTTACTGTGCTGAGAGGTACCCAGAAGGTTCCCATGAAGGGCAGCATGTCCAAGCCCCTAACCCCAGATGTGGCAACAGGACCCTCGCTCACATCCACCGGAGTGTATGTATGGGGAGGGGCTTCACCTGTTCCCAGAGGTGTCCTTGGACTCACCTTGGCACATGTTCTGTGTTTCAGTAAAGAGAGACCTGATCACCCATCTGTGTGCTTCCATCCTGCATTAAAATTCACTCAGTGTGGCCCAGAGGCTGTCTATTGATCTGCATGCTTTCGCCATTTTTATAGTACAGGGATTGTGTATAGTCTCACTGCTACCTCCTCCTTCTACTCCCCCAGGTCTTGGTTTGGACTTTGATGATAGCATTTACTGAAACGGGCCTGGAGCCTGTCGAACAGCCCGCTGTGGCAGGGCAGGGACCACCTTTGTTCATCTCAGTATCCCCTGAACTAGCAGAGTGTCTGGCCTGCAGTGGGATCGCAGAGAATGTGGAATTGACCTAAATTTAAATTTCAAGTTCTGGACACAAGCCTCAATTATTCCTCTTATATGTTATAACTTACATGCTATTATTTTTTAAAAAAATTAATATGGTTTACTTTTTATTATAAAAGTAAAACTTGGCCAGGCTCAGTGGCTCACGCCTGTAATCCCAGCACTTTGGGAGGCCGAGGCCGGTGGATCACGAGGTCAGGAGTTTGAGACTAGCCTGGCCAACATGGTGAAACCCCGTCTCTACTAAAAACACGAAAATTAGCTGGGTGTGGTGGCAGGTGCCAGTAATCCCAGCTACCCAGGAGGCTGAGACGGGAGAATCACTTGAACCCGGGAGGCAGAGGTTGCAGTGACCCAAGATCCTACCACTGCACCCCAGCCTGGGCAAAAGGGCAAGACTCTGTCTCATAAATAAATAAATTTAAAATAAAAGTAAAACTTGTTTATGATTTCAAAATTTTGAAATATTCCAAAGACCAAGCAAAGTAAGAAGTGGGAAGAGGAGAAAGAAAAACTTTTCTATAATCCCACCTCTTAGATACAACGATTTATTTTTTAAAATTGAGACAGGGTCTCACTCTCACCCAAACTGCAGTGCAGTGGTGCGACCATGGCTCACTGCAGCCTCCACCTCCCAGCTCCAGTGATCCTCCCACCTCAGCCTCCTGAGGAGCTGGGACCACAGCTGGCTAATTTTTGTACTTTGTTTTGTAAAAAAGGGGCTTTACCATGTTGACCAGGTTGGTCTCGATCTTCTGAGCTCAAGCAGTCCTCCTGCCTCAGACTCGCAAAGTGCTGGGATTACAGACATGAGCCACTGTGCCCAGCCTTATATACAGCTATTATTATTAATGTATACTGTGTATTCATTTCAATTCTTAATCTCTCCACTTGGATGTTGATGAAATACATACCTCACATTCAACATTTCTTTCTTTTTTTTTTTCTTTTTGAGATGGAAAGGAGCCTGGCTCTGTCACCCAGGCTGGAGTGCAGTGGCGTGATCTCAGCTCACTGCAAGCTCCACCTCTTGGGTTCACGTGATTCTCCTGCCTCAGCCTCCTGAGTATCTGGGACTACAGGTGCCACCACCATGCTCGGCTAATTTTTTGTATTTTTAGTAGAGACGGAGTTTCACCGTGTCAGCCAGCCTGGTCTCAAACTCCTGACCTCAAGTGATCCACCCACCTCGGCCTCCCAAAGTGCTGGGATTCCAGTTAATGAGCACTGCTCCTGGCCTCCACATTTCTAAAATCGAAGTTCTGATCTTTTCCTCTGGACCTGCCCCACCTGCATCTTCCCCATCTCAGTTAACGTCAGTTGCATCCTTCAGGTGCTCAGGCCGAAATCCTCAGCACCGTTCTTTATTCTCCTCTCACATTTTGCACCAGGAAATTCTGCTGGCTCTAAGGCCATCAAACTGTGCCCAGAATGTGGCCCCTCCTCAGCATCTCCAGTGCTACCACCGAGATGGTCCACGATGCCATCATCTCTCACCTGCACTACTACAGGTCTCCCTGTTTCCAGCTCAGCCCCCACCCCAGTCTAGTCCCAGTGTGTCAGCCAGGGCTGTCTTTTTACAACATAAGGCAGAACACACCACTTCTTTGCTCCAATCCTCCCATTTCACTCAGAAGAAAAGCTCTGACAACAGCTGCAAAGCCGTGCACGACCTGCGCCCCTCCCCTGCCTCCTTAATTTGCTGACTGCACCGCAGCCACATGGACGTCTTTCTTGTCCCTTTAATGCGCTGGGCCTGCTCTTGCCTTGGGACCTTTCTGTGCATTGCTTAGTCTGCTCAGAAGCCTTCTCCTCTACATATCCACTTGTCTAAACCCTCTACCTCCACCTTCATGCCCCTTCTCAGCGAGGTCTACCATGACCATGCTGCCTACAAATTCAGTCTCCCCTTCTGTACTTTGACGTACTTTATAGTGCTGATCACAATTGAACGTCATACATATTTTGTTTTCTTTATTATCTGAGTCCTCCAACTAGAATGAAAGATTTTGCCCATTATGGTTTCCCTAGTGCCAAGAACAGTACCTGGCACATACCAGGGGCTCAGTAAACATTTGTTAGATGAATGAAGGAAACAAGGAGACTGTGTTGATGCTGCTGTGAGCAAGGGGAGTCTGAACGTTTGATGGATCCCTTCCATTTCTGGAGTGGAGCAGAATGAGTTTCATAAAGTAGCTTGGACAAAAATAATTCGCTCATCTTGGCATATATGTTGGGCAGCTGCCGCAGAAGAGAGACTGAGCTATGTGCCGTGGAGGATTCAAATCTGTCTCTTCTCCCAGGGATTGAAGTTAGACACGTACAGCAATAATAAGTTGAAAGAACTTATTTACACCGCATATAGCAACAACAGGATGCCCTTAATATATAGAGAACTCTTACAGCGCAAGAAAATAAAAAGGCAAACGTACCAGTAGAAAAATGGGTAAATGGCAACAGGTAATTCACAAAAGAAGAAATACAAATGTCCTCTCCTCCCGCCACCACCCCCCATGAAAAAGAACGTGTGACTTCAGTAGCAAAAACAGGTCCATTAATACAGTGAGATATTGCTTATTGTATGTCTGTACTGATCTATACTGGGTGCTGGGCAAACGGGCATTCTTAAACACTCCTAGTAGGGAAGAAATTGGTACAACCTTTCCGGAGGACAATTTAACTGATTTATTTAAAGCCCGAAAAATGTACATACCTTTAACTCAGCAGTTTCGTTACTGATTTATCTTAAGGAAGTAATTTAGAATCTGTGCCTAACTGTTTACAATAACTCATAGATGAAAAAGGCAAAACAAAACACAAGTAACCTCAAATCTCCCCATGTAACAGTTTGCTTAAACACTATAGCGTTATTTTACGCAAGCTACAGAAGCATTGTTGAAACATATATTTATTAGGACAGAAAAAAATTCATGAAATGTTATTTTATCTTCTTTTTTCTTAAAATGGAACTTAAAAAAAATTTTTTTAACTCCAACCTACCTTTTACACCATCTGCAGAGCTTTCCTCTCCCAAATCAAAGCTACTCCTGTTCCTACCTCCAGGATGGAATCCCCACCTTCGTATGCAAGGGTCTTCATGATATGGCCTCAGCCAACTATCTTAGCTCCAGGTCACGGCCCCATCTTCCATATCCTATGCTGCTTGCACAGGAAGCAGCTCGCTAACCCCAGGCACACCTGCTTTCATCTGGAGCGTCTGCCCATCATGATTCCTCCCCCTGGTCCCTTCACCTGGAAAACTCCTATTCATTCCTCAAAGCCCAGTTCAGATGGCACCTCTCCATGACTTCATCAGATTCCCTACAGAGGTGCTGATTTTCTGGTCTCTTGTGTTTCTGTTGTAACACTTAACATGCTGTATTATAATGTGCTTATTTTATTTACAAGTTTGTTACATTGTACGTGCTCGAGGACAAGCAGCCGGTAGTATTCACCTCTGTCATCACAGAAGCTGGCGTGGAGCCCTCCACATGAGGGCACTGATGTGTTTGCTGAGTGACTGGGACAATGGTGGGCCACGTGAGCCCCGAAACTTTCAGTGGGCTCTGAAAGTTAAGAAAAGGGCATTCAGTACTGAAATCACACAAAACGTAAATTTAATGATATAATTGTTCCGAAGCTGCTCTATAATTTGGCATGAATGGAGAGCAGTTTACAAAAATGACAACACCACTGTTATATAAACCCAATTCTTAAATAGGTTTTCTTCTCTTGCTTTGTATTTCCTCAAGTGGGTGATACTTAATACAGTGGCTCATGTAATCTTAATTACTACATATGAGGACACGGACATGTACATATGATGCTGATTACTGCTATTTTTGGAAGTAAAAAAATTGTAAAATTTGACTAGCTTAAAAAATCTGTAAAATATGGGATACACAAATTAGAGACTGGGTGCGGTGGCTCATGCCTGTAATCCCAGCACTTTGAGAGGCCGAGGCAGGCGGATCACTTGAGGCCAGGAGTTTGAGACCAACCCAGGCAACATGGTGAAATCCTGTCTCTACTAAAAATACACAAATTAGCTGGGCATAGTGGCAGGTGCCTGTAATCCCAACTACTCAAAAGGGTGAGGCAGGAGAATCACTTGAACCTGGGAGGCGGAGGTTGCAGTGAGCTGAGATTGCGTCACTGCACTCCAGCCTGGTGACAGAGCGAGACCGTGTCTCAAAACGTCAACAAGAACAACACAAATTAGAAGCATTTGGGAACTAAAATGTATCATTATGATTGCATGTGGGTGGGTTGGGGGGGGACAATAAAGAGGAAGAGAGACTGTGTGTGTGTGTGTGTGTGTGTGTGTGTGCACGCCTGTATTACTGGAGATGACCAAAGTTAGCAGGAGTAATGTTACCAAGCTAACAGGAGCCAGAAGTCCCTGGAGAAAACTCTCCAGCTATTTAAGATTCTAAAGTGTGTGTATATGAGGTAAAAATGCCACGTTTTATAAAGACAAATTTAAGCATGGACCTAAACAAGATGGCCTGTCTAAAGTCACCTGTGACTTGGTGTGAGCTCTGAGACGGCGAAACTCCACAGCAATGATGAAGACAACGTGAGGTGGAACTTCTCTGACCAGAGACCTCATCTGAAGCTTCTGCCACAGCCAGTCCTGCCTTCATCCCTTGAGAGGGGGATTGGCCACCAAAGTATGCAAAGCATTTGAATGGAAACGAATTCCGTGGGTGCGCCCCACACTTTAATAGTGGCCATGATATCACTTTCTGGTGCCAGTAAATGCGTAAAGGGGTGCATCATGCCAGTGACCTATCACTCATCATCCCAGTCATTAAGCCACTTACTTCAGGCCTGTGGGGAGTTTCTGGAAGGCTCCTTTGAAGCAGGGAAGAATGGGCAAGGGAGTCTGTGTCTTTGGCCAAGCTTTGCCCCAGATAGCTCCTTTTGCCACTCTCGAGCCCACTGAAGGTGTCCCAGCTGCTGCCACCAGCAGGGGTCGGGGGTCTGCACCCTTCTCTCTTCCAAGCAAACTCACACCTGGCACCCTGGGGAAGGGTCAGTCAGTTATTTTATTCCAGGGGCCAAAGCGACAGAATCCAGACCACTTGTAGCCAGGGAATGAGCTGACGAAAATGGATGGTTGTGTCCTTGTCCTTCTGACTGTCCCACTCGTGAAGGGGCAGCTCCCTGTCCAGCTAGAGAAGGGTGTCCCCAGGTGCCCTCTCCTTTCTTGGGACGCCTCCTCCTCCCGTGCTGTCAGGGCCTCAGCGGCTTTGACTGGGCTCACCAAGAAAACACAGAACAGCCACTTAAATGAGAACCTCGGATAAACGGTGAACACTTAAAAATATACAAGAATGTTCCAAATAGTTCATGGGATATCTTTAAACTAAAACAATTATTTGTGGTTAATCTGAAATTTAAGCTGGGCTGCTTGTATTTTCATTTGCTAAATTGGACAGCCCTACTTTCATTATTATTATTATTATTATTATTGAGACCCAGTCTCACTCTGTCACCCAGGCTGGAGTGCAGTGGTGCCATCTCGGCTCACTGCAAGCTCCGCCTCCTGGTTTCAAGGGATTCTCCTGTCTCAGCCTCCCAAGTAGCTGGGATTACAGGTGTGCGCCACCACGCCCAGCTAATTTGTTATATTTTTGGTAGAAACAGGGTTTCACCATGTTGGTCAGGCTGGTCTTGAACTCCTGACCTCAGGTGACTTGCCTGCCTCGGCCTCCCAAAGTGCTGGGATTACAGGTGTGAGCCACCACACCTGGCCCAGACAGCCCTACTTTTAATGCATCCTCTCCCACGAGGGTCCCTGGCTCCTCTCTTCCCTCCAATCTGCGGGTCTCCTTCAGGGGTAGCAAGCTCCCAGCCTTCTCCCAGGTATTGGGCCTCTCCTCTGCCTCGGGAGGAGCTGTCCATCAAACACAGGCTCTGTCCTCCCGCTCCCTCCATTGCTTAGTGTGTGAAGGTGGACAGGGGAGGAGGGACCTTGGGTTTGGGGCGGTTCTGCTCCCCACTCGCTGCTTTGCTTTTGCTCTTTCTGGTTTCCTTTCTCCGCAGTTGATGACACAGGGCACCCACAGCGCTCACGTGCCTTCCATGGTGGGGGTGAATCCTTTGCCAATAGTGCCTGGTGGGTTTCAGGTAAGTTGTAACTTTTGGACCTTCTGCTGTCTCTGACTTTGAGTCACATGACAAGGTCCTCATGGAATTGGGATTCTGGCAGCCAGGTGAGGGCGGTCTCACCAGCTCCTTCATGCCTGCAGGCCTCCCCCTTCCTCACAACTGATGGATGGTTGGCTCCCTAGCCGCCCCGTTAGTGCCATGTGTGCTTAATTCTTTTAAAAATTTAAATATATTAATTTTAAAATCATCTTTTAAATAATAAAATTTGCTTTTTAGAGCAGTTTTGGGTTTACAGCAAAATTTTCCTGAGTGGAAAATACAGAAAGTTCCCATATGCCCCCTGCCACACACACATATACCTACGCCCAGCCTCCCCCACCACCAACGCCCTGCACCAGGTGGCACGTGTGACAGTCGATGCGTCCACGTCAACATATCCTCATCAAAGTCCAGAGTTGACAGCACATTTTTGGCGTTGGATATTCTCCATTCTCTATTCAACAACGTATCGGCTGGCCCGGCGCAGTGGCTCATGCCTGTAATCTCAGCACTTTGGGAGGTGGAGGCGGGTGGATCTCTTTGAGATCAGGAGTTCGAGACCAGCCTGGCCAACACGGCGAAAACCCATCTCTACTAAAAATACAAAAATTAGCCGGGTGTGGTGGCGCATGCCTGTAGTCTTAGCTACATGGAAGGCTGAGGCAGGAGAATCGCTTGAACCCGGGAGGTGGAGGTTGCAGTGAGCAGAGATCGCACCACTGCACTCCATTCTGGGCGACAGAGTGAGACTCAATCTCAAAAAATAACATAAATGTTTCTGCCATTGTAGCATCATACAGAAAAATAAGTAGTTTCAGTGCCCTAAAAATCCTCTGTGCTTCACTTATTCATCCCCAACCCCTGGCAACCACTGATCTTTTCACTGTCTCCATAGTTTTACCTTTTCCAGAATGTCATATAATTGCAACCGTAAGGTAAATAGCCTTTTCAGATTGTCTTCTTTCACATAGTATATGCATTTAAGTTTTCTGTATGTATTTTCATGGCTGTGTAATTCATTTCATTTTAGCACTGAATAATATTCCATCGTCTGAATGCACCATAGGTTATTTACCCGTTCACCTGCTGAAGGACATCTTGGTTGCTTCCAAGTTTTGGCAATTATGAATAAAGCTGCTATAAATTATGAATAAAGCTGCTATAAACCTCCATGTGCAGGTTTTCGTGTGGACAAAAACGTTTTCTGTCCCTTTGGGTAAATATCAAGGAGTGTGATTGCTGGACTGCATAGTAAGAGTATGGTTTAGTTTGGTAAGAAAGTGCCAAATTGCGGGCGCCTGTGGTCCCAGCTGCTGAGGAGGCTGAGGCAGGAGAATCGCGTGAACCCGGGAGGCGGAGCTTGCAGTGAGCCGAGATCGTGCCACTGCACTCCAGCCTGGGCGACAGAGCCAGACTCCATCTCCAAAAAAAAAAAAAAAAAAGAAACTGCCAAATTGTCTTCCAAAGTGGTTGTACCATGTTGCCTTCCCACCAGCAATGAAGGAGGGTTCCTGTTGCTCCACATCCTGAACAGCATTTGAAGTTTTCAGTGCTGTGGATTTTGATCATTCTTTTTTTCTTTTTCTTTTGAGACGGGGTCTCACTCCATTGCTCAGGCTGGAGTGAAGGCTGGATCGCGGCTCACTGCAGCCTCAACCTCCTGGGCTCAAGCAATCCTGCCATCTCAGCCTCCAGAGTAGCTGGGACCACAGTCACATGCTACCGTGCCCATATAATTTTTTAATTTTTTGTAGAGATGGGATCTTGCTTTGTTGCCCAGGCTGGTCTCAAACTCCTGGGCTCCAGTGATCCTCCTGCTTCAGCCTCCCAAAGTGCTGGGAGTACAGGTGTGAGCCACAGTGCCTGGTGACTGTGGTCATTCTAACAGGTGTGTATTGAGTACAGTTGTGAGCCACGATGCCTGGCGATTGTGGTCATTCTAACGGGTGTGCATGGGTTTCGCGTTGTTTGCGGTTCCCTAATGACATACGATGTTGAACATCTTTGTAGATGCTTATGTGCCATGTGAATGTCTTCTTTGGTGATATGTATGTTCAGTTTTTTTACCCATTTAAAAAACTGGGTTGTTCATTTTCTTATTGTTGAGTTGTAAGAGTTATTTGTATATTTAATTAATTAATTAATATTTTTTGAGACAGAGTCTCACTCTGTTGCCCAGGCTGGAGTGCAGTGGCGCGATCTCAGTTCACTGCAATCTCCGCCTCCTGGGTTCAAGTGATTATCCTGCCTCAGCCTCCCGAGTAGCTGGGATTACTACTACTGGTAGTAGTAATGGCGCCCGCCACCACACCCAGCTAATTTTTGTATTTTTAGTAGAGACAGGGTTTCACCATGTTGGCCAGGCTGGTCTCCAACGCCTGACCTCAATTGATCCGCTTACCTCAGCCTCCCAAAGTGCTGGGATTTCAGGTCTGAGCCAGTGCACCCGGCTCTTTGTATATTTTAGATAAAAGTCTTTAATCAGATGGGACTTTTGCAAATATTTTCATTCTCTTGCCATTGCCTTTCACAGAGAAGAAGTTTTTAATGTTAATGAAGTTCAGCTCATCAATTATTTCCTTCATGGATCATGCCCTTGCTATTGTATCTAAAATGTCATCACCATACTCAAGGTCATTTAGATTTTCTCCTATATTATCTTCTGGGAGTCTTACAGTTTTGCATTTTATTGAGGTTTATGATTCATTTTGAGTTTTTATGAAAGGTATAAGGTCTGTGTCTAGATTTTTTTTTTTTTTTTTTTTGCTTGTGGATGTCCGGTTGTCCCAGCGTCATTTATTGAAAACACTATCTCTGCTCCATTGTGTGGCCTCTGCTGCTTTGTCAAAGATCAGTTGACACATTTATACAGGTCTATTAGAAATATTACTTTTAATATTCTGGGCTCTCTATTCTGTTCCATTGATCTATTTGTCTATTCTTTTGCCAGTATCATGCTGCTTTCATGACTATAGCTTTAGAGTAAGCCTTGAAGTCAGGTGGTATCAGTCCTCTGACCATTCTCCATCAATATTGATTTGGCTATTTTGGATCTTTTGCCTCTCCACATAAACTTTAGAGCCAGTTTATCCATATCTACAAATAACTTCCTGGGATTTTGATTAAGATTGTGTCATTATGTAGAATCTGTAGATCAAGTTGGCTATCTTGATCTGCTGCTATCTTGATAATATTGAGAACTGCTATCTTAATAATATTGAGTCTTCTGGCCTGTTGTGCTGGCGCACACCTATAATCCCAGCACTTTGGGATGCCGAGGAGGGTGGATCACCTGAGGTCAGGAGTTTGAGATCAGCCTGGCCAAAATGCCGAAACCCTATCTCTACTAAAAATACAAAAAAAAATTAGCCAGGCGTGGTGGTGTGTGCCTGTAATCCCAGCTACTCATGAGGCTGAGGCAAGAGAATTGCTTGAACCCGGGAGGCTGAGGTTGCAGTGAGCTGAGATGGTGCCACTGCACTCCAGCCTGGGTGACAGAGGGAGACTCCATCTCAAAAAAAAAAAAAAAAAAGAGTCTTCCTGTTCATAAACATAGAATGTCATCCCATTTATGAAGTTCTTTGATATCTTTCATCAGAGTTTTATAGTTTTTCTCATATAGATCTTGTACATATTTTGTTACATTTACACCTCAGTATTTCATTTTGGGGGATGCTAATGTAAATGGTCATATGTATTTAATTTTATTATTCATTTTTCTTTTTTTGTTTCCTGTCTTGCTCAAATATTTTTAATTCTAAATTCCAATTGTTCTTTGCTGGCACACACGAAAGCTGTTGACGTTAGGACACTAACCTTATATCATGAAACTTGTCTGAAATTGCTTCTTTGTTCTGGGGTTTTTTCCTTTTGTCAACTCTTAGATTTTTTAACATAGATGATTGTGTCATCTGTGAACAAAGCAGTTTTGTTTCTTCCTTTTTATTCTGTATACCTTTTATTTCCCTTTTGTGTCTAGTTGCATTGGCCAAGACCTCCAGCAGGATGTTGAGAATCGATGGTGAGAGGGGACGTTCTTGCCTTGTTACTAATCTTAGGGGAAAGCATCTAATTTCTCACCGTTAAGGATGATGTTAGCTGTAGGTTTTTGTAGATATTCTTTTATTTATTTATTTATTTATTTATTTATTTATTTATTTATTTTTTGAGACAGAGTCTCACTCTGTCACCCAGGCTGGAGTGCAGTGGTGTGATCTCGGCTCACTGCAATCTCCGCCTCCTGGGTTCACACCATTCTCCTGCCTCAGCCTCCCAAGCAGCTGGGACTACAGGCGCCCACCACCACGCCCAGCTAATTTTTTGTGTTTTTAGTAGAGATGGGGTTTCACCGTGTTAGCCAGGATGGTCTCGATCTCCTGAACTCGTGATCCGCCTGCCTCGGCCTCCCAAAGTGCTGGGATTACAGACGTGAGCCACCATGCCTGGCCGATCATGTGATTTTTATTCTCTAGCCTGTTGATGTAACGGATTGCATTAGCTGATTTTTGAATATTGAACCAGTCTTGCATACCTGGGATAAATCTCTGTTGGTCATGGCCTATAATTCTTTTTACATATTGTTGAACTGTATTTGCTAATATTTTGTTGGTAATTTTTGCATCTATGTGAGATATATTGGTCTATAGTCGTCTTGTAATGTCTTTGTCCCGTTTTGGCATTAGGGTGACAGTGACAAATGACTTAGGAAGTATTCCTCCTGCTTCTATCTTCTGGAAAAGATTGCAGAAAATAGGTATTATTTCCCCTTAAATATCTGCTAAAATTCACCAGCGAACTCATCTGTGCTGTGTGCTTGCTTCTTGATAAATGAATGCTGTGACTGCAGTTTTGTATGGAGACTTCATTACATTCCACTTTGGGGCATATGAGGGTAAAGCTACAGCTTTGTATGTAGGAGAGTGGCTTCACCTATTGGGAGAAGTCATTCTCCATGTAAGTTTGGAGTCTGCTCAGATCAAAGACTGTGAAGGTTAATATTGAGTGTCAACTTGATTGGACTGAAGGATGCAACGTATTGTTCCTGGGTGTCTCTCTGTGAGGGTGTTGGCAATGGAGACTAATATTTGAATCAGTGGACTGGGAGAGGCAGGCTCACTCTCAGTCTGGGTGGACACAATCTAATCAGCTGCCAGCATAGCCAGAATAAAGCAGGCAGAGGAATGTGGAAGGATTACACTGGCTAAGTCTTCCAGCCTTCATCTTTCTCCCGTGCTGGATGCTTCCTGCCCTCAAACATCGGACTTCCAGTTCTTCAGCTTTTGGACTCTTGGACTTACACTGGTGGTTTGTCAGGGGCTCTTGGGCCTTCTGCCACAGACTTAAGGTTACACTGTCGGCTTCCCTACTTTTGAGATCTTGGGATTCAGACTAGCTTCCCTGCTTCTCAGCTTGCAGACAGCCTATTGTGGACCTCACTTTGTGATCGTGTGAGTCGATACTCCTTCATAAACTCCCCTTTATATATACATCTATCCTATTAGTCCTGACCCTCTAGGGAACCCTAATACAAAGATTATATATATATTCTTTATATATATATATATATATATATATATTTTTTTTTTTTTTTTGAGACAGAGTCTTGCTCTGTTGCCCAGGCTGGAGTGCAGTGGCACAATCTCAGCTCACTGCAACCTCCGCCTCCTGGGTTCAAGAGATTCTCCTGCCTCAGCCTCCTGAGTAGCTGGGATTATAGGCGTGTGCCACCACGCCCAGCGAATTTTTGTATTTTAGTAGAGACAGGGTTTCACTATGTTGGCCAGGCTGGTCTCAAACTCCTGGCCTCAAGTGATCTGCCCGCCTTGGCCTCCCAAAATGTTGGGATTACAGGCGTGAGCCACCGTGCCCAACCAAAGATATTCCTTTGGGAGCTTCCTTCAACAGCACTTACCCACCCGCAAGAATGAGCTTGAACACCTGCTTTGCACCATGTGACCTCCTTTCTGACCCCATGACTACATTTTATTGGACCAGGCATAAACAACTGATGTAAATTGGACCAGTCAGATTCTCTCTTCAGGGATTTGGGATTTAGAACTAAGAGGCAGCTACCTAGTTTCTGCATAAAGTTGGAATTGAGATTTTCTAGACACAGGAATTGTGGACCAATTGTGTTGGAGTTATTACACCAGATAGGTGTAAAAGTCCCGCCTGCTGAGAGGATTCTGTGGAAGCTGATCAGGTTGCTGGGGCAAGTGGAGGCAGGGTAGAGGTGAAGGGCTGTGGGATGGAGAACCTCAGAAGACTCCATCTGGGGTCCGGGAAAGGACAGAGAGGGTATATGAGGGGTCGGGCCCTCCAGATCTAAGGGTGGGGTGGTGGCATGTTTCTTGAGTTGGTTCCTGGAAAGGGAGCTGAAATGGTTTAATCGCTCTTCCATGAAACGCAGGCGGTGGGGACAGCCACCAGACAGGTAAACACACTGTGCATTGATCCTTTTACAACTTTTGTGAAACTGATGGACAGGCAGGCAGGGAGGGGTCCTGGGAGAGAGTCTGGGGCACTCCATCTTGGGGTATCTCTTTCGCTCTCCTCCTTAGCGGGCGAAGCTTTGGCCTGTGCTGGGGTGGGGGAAGAAGAAGGTGATGTGGAGCATGAAGCAAGGTTGGGGTGGAGCAACTGAGGGTTTCCAGCATGGGTAACGGGGCTGATTAGGACTGGATCCAGCTGCCCCTAATGCTCCACTGCTGCCCAGCACTTAACCTCCACACTCTGTGCCCTCTGATGGTTGGGAGAAGTCTGTGTCCAGCCCTTCGGCCACCAGAAGAAAATCAGGAATGGAATTCCTGGTTTTGAAGACACAAAAAGTCAGAGAGACTTTATTTAAATAGAGTTAATTTGAAGTAAACCAGAGAGTTTTGTGTGCAGAAGCATTTTGCTTAACTTAGGGCCATCACCACATTATGAACTCTTGTGTGTGTGTGTGTGTGCACGCGCGCGTGCACAGGCTAGTGTCCTTCTGTGGGTGTGTCTGCGTGAGGACCCATCCATGCATGTTTGATCTTTATGGCCTCCCCCTGTGCACCTGCGCCTATGGATAAGGTATAGTCTTGTCTTGATTCCCAGTATTCATTCTCCTTGAAGAATCCTGACAGCCTTCAGTCACCTTCCCTTTTCCAGTCTCCCAAAAGCAATGGCGCCTTAAATGTGCGGTAAGGATGAGGTGAGTCTTGAGGTAGCCTAGGCCACAGCTGCCCCTTCAAGGCAAGGCCTCAGCTGAGTTCAGGAAATAGGAGAACCTGGCCCCGGAGCAACCCCAGAAGCGCAGGACCACGAACGTCCCGACCCCCAGCAGCAAGAGGCCGCCCAGGGCCCCAAAGAAGATGCCGAAGAACGCGTCGAGTTTCATGCTCAGGTGCTCACAGTGCTCGCCCCAGGCCGTGTAGATGGAGAAGGACACACAGCTGGTGACCAAGAGAGACAGACAGGCGGTCAGAGGCGGGAGCTCAGCCTCCCAGCCCCTCCTCTTCTGCTGGGGAAGAAGAGGTTCTGTAGGAGAGGCTGGGCTCGCCCCACTCTCCGGAGAGACTGAGTCAGCCCTGAGGCCGTGCTGAAGTGAGACCACTGGGCAAAGGAGGCAGGTGTGGGCTTTAAAAACATGGGCCTGGGCCGGCGCGGGGGCTCACGCCTGTAATCCCAGCACATTGAGAGGCTGAGGCGGGCGCATCACTTGAGGTCAGGGGTTCGAGACCAGACTGGCCAACACGGTGAAACCCCATCTCTACTAAAAATACAAAATTAGCCAGGCGTGGTGGTGCGCACCTGTAATCCCAGCTACTCAGGAGGCTGAGGCAGAATCGCTTGAACCTGGGAGGTGGAGGTTGCAGTGAGCCGAGATTGCAACACTGCACTCCAGCCTGGGGGACAGAGCAAGACTCCGTCTCAAAAAACAAAAACAAAAACCTGGTGTGAATTCAGCTGCACGTGCAGTCAGCTGCACCTGGGCGGCAGGGATGCCGGCCACAGGTGGGCATGCGCAGTCACACCCCCGCCCCAGCCCGGCCCCGCCCCGCCCCGCCCACCCGGAGAGCCGGGCCCCGCCCCACCCGCGCTCCGCCCGCCCCCTCCTTCGGCGGGATCTGGAACTGCAGCTGGCGGAGGGCCCGGAGCCCAGGTCTGCGTGGGGCCGCGGCTTCCTGCGCTGTTAACCAGCGGAGCCCCGGGGACTGCTGGTGAGGGCAGGGGCAAAGGCGCCTCGCTTGACTGAGGGGCAGGACTGGCCTAGACACAGGACTGCAGGTTCTTTTCCCACAAGGAGACAGCAGGGAAGCAGCAGCCAGATCAGGTGGGAGGGTTTGACTTTGGGCCCTGGCGCGGTGGCTCACGCCTGTAATCTCAGCACTTTGGGAGGCCAAGGTGGACGGATCACCTGAGGTCAGGAGTTCGAGACCAGCCTGACCAACATGGCGAAACCCCGTCTCTACTAAAAATGCAAAAATCAGCTGGGCGTGGTGGTGCGTGCCTGTAGTCCCAACTACTCGGGAGGCTGAGGCAGGAGAATCGCTTGAACGCGGGAGAAGGACGTTGCAGTGAGCCGAGAACGCACCACTGCACTCCAGCCTGGGCGACAAATGACACTCCATCTCAAAACATAAAAATATAAAAAATGTTTGGCTTTGGAAACCATGCCCTGCTGCTTAACCTACTGCGTCCTGGGGCAGGTTCCTTGTCATCTCTAAGCTGCAGTTTTCTCATCTTCGAAATAGTTCTAAGCCCCCCTATGGCTCTTTTGGGTTTCAGAGTTTGTAATATAGCGCCTTTATTCTCCACACAGAGCAGGCACTCACAACTCTCCTTTTCCACTGTCCTCTCTTCCCTGGTCTCTGATCTCTCGAGCCATCCTAATTCCTGGACCCCTTGCAGTGTCTTGCCCAGCTTGGGTTCCCCAGCACTGTCCTCCACCTCCTGGCCACAGCCCTATGCACCTGCAGCGGGGCCCACTGGGCAGGTGCTGGCACTGGCCTCCATGGTCACAGTAGCCCCTACTGCACGGGGACACGCAGGTGAAGCCGCTCTGGGGGCTGTAGACCAGGTCGTAGCCCTTGTAGCCATCGCATCTGAAGTAAGCCTTCAGCGTGCTCACGTTCACTGTCGGGAAGGACACAGATTAACACAGAAAGCAACCGATGAACACTAAATCAGTACCTTTTCAGCCACGAATTCCTTTTCGGGTGTTTATCCTGAGAAATAATTGGAGAAGTGCACAGATACATATGCCCCTGGACGTTCAGATCAGCATGGTGGATAATAGTAACGTTTCAGAAGTAGGGTCTGGTTAAATAAACTACTGCACATCCTTACCAAGGGATGGTGCTTCCTATGGAAAAAGTTTCCTAGGGAAAAAGGTTCCTAGGGAAAAAGGTTCCTGTGGAAAAAGGTTCCTATGGAAAATGCTTTCCTGAAGAGCACATGCTTTGAAGGTGGCCAGACTTGGGTGGAAACTGAAACTCTGCTAGTGACTAGATGTGTAATTCAGGGAACATTCCTTCACTCTTTCAGCTTCAGTTTCCTTATCTTTAAAAGGAAATGATCATAATAGCACTTATGCTGCTGTGAGATTTAAATGAGATAATGTGTCCACAGTACTCAGTACAGTGCCGGACACACAGTAAGCACTCAAACAATGGTAATGATTATTATAATGTATTTTAAAATATGACACTATATTCAAACATACCATCATAATATGTCAAATGGGAATGTGGACAGAATATATGAGACAACCTGTTCACAACTGTTTAATGAGGAGGTTTTCCAACATTAGGAATGATTTGATCCTTCAGTAAAAAATGGATGTCTGAAGGTTCCTAGGCATAAAAGAAAGTTCAGAAGGATATGTAGGAAATACTGTTGTCTCTCTGGGGATTGGGATTACAGGGTTTTTTTCCTCTTTTCTTTTTGTTAAGTTTGTGTTTCCTAAAGTTTCTGCAATAAACATACGATGCTTGTATAATAAAAATTATAGGTTTTCCTTAATTGCATAGTCAGGGCTTGCCTCCCTGCGCCTCCTACCCCAACTCCCCAACATACAGTAGTTCTGAGGGATTTCACCCCCTGCTCCGGGAGAGAGCGGGCTTAGCCTGGATTCTGGGAGAAGCTCTTGCTTGGTCCCAGACCCAAGTAAAACAGCAGTTCCTGTTGTGTTTGGGGCGGCCCCTGCCCTGTTCTCTGCCCTATACAGAAAATAGGACGTGTTATTCCTTTGTTTCTCTGACAAGCTTGCCAACTTATTCCTGTTCCAGGAAAACCGGGGGCTGTCAGCACTGAAAGGGGGCTCAGAAATCCCATCTCATTTTCAGATGGGGGTGCTGAGGCCTGGCCTGGGGAAGGTGCTTGGGGAGTGTTGAGGCCTGGCCTCGGGGAGGTGCTGGGGGGTGTTGAGGCCTGGCCTGGGGAAGGTGCTGGGGGGTGTTGAGGCCTGGCCTGGCCTGGGGAAGGTGCTGGGGGGTGTTGAGGCCTGGCCTGGCCTGGGGAAGGTGCTTGCACAGGGTGACACCATTTCAGGGAGTAGTTGCCTCTGTCCCTGGCCAGTCTCCAGTCTCCAGCTTCATATCCTCCCGCTGGAGAGCAGAGACGATGGGGGTGTCCCTGTGTATGCTTAAGTGCAATGGCATTTTAAGAAAACTATTAGCAATTTTATGAAACTAAATTGCTGCTGTTTTATTAGCAGCCACAGTCAGCAAGGCCCTGGCTGGGTGCTTGCTCCGTGAAGCTGTATACGTGTGACTGCCTCAGCAGTGCTGGCTGCTCCTGCTCTCGAATCTAAAAAGCAGCTGGACAAAATGTTCACGTTTTCGCTCAAAACCAAACAAACAGAAAAACTCAATTAGCTTGTTTGTGTGGGCTGAAGCACCTCTGTTTGCCCGCCCCCCGCAGTGACCCCCATAGTGTCCCCGGAATGGACGGACTCACGGGCTGTCACATCGCGCACGTCTTCCCCGGAGATGGGCTGGAAGACCACGTCGTTCCTGGGCTCCTCACTCCTCCGTGGAACGTGGTATAAGAACGCCTCCACCACCGCGGCCAGCAGCTGGTTGTTCAGGAAGTCAATGACCGGGCCCCGAGGGCGGTACTGGAACTCCGAGATGACCATCCAGTGTTGGATGGGGCTTCCCGAGGCCGGTGCTGCAGAATCGCTGTGTGGGAGGGCAACGGTGAGGGGGGGTGGGGGGCTGGGGGTGGGGGATGAGGAAGAGATCTGGGGGCTTAGGGGGACACAGTCCCACTTACATTCGTTCCACTTGGCTGTTGCGGAGAAAGGCCCGCATGTCCAGGGTCCCCAGTCTGTATGCCACCTAGGTTAGAGGATGGCAGATGGGGGTGGGGGTGAGGCCCCATCCGGGGGGGAGACGCCCTCCCACCTTGATGGGTGTATTCATCCCTGTTTCCTCCTGGAACGGGAGCCCCAGGACCCCAGCACCTTCCTCACCTGTCTCTGCACCCTTGCACTCTAGCCTAGCTCAGTGAGTGTCATGGGTCCTTGCTTAATAATGTTTGTTGAGAGTGAAGGGTTTTCCATTCTGTCCCCCCCTCAGCCTCATATGACGAGCAGAGAATCTGACATGAATGGCCCCTACCTTGCCTCTGACACATGACTCATGACCTCCTCCCCAGTATATTGAACATGGGTTGTTTAGACCTAGGAGATGGTCGGGGCTGGGGGTGTCAAGGTGACTTAGGTGGAGTCTAAACTCAAAGAGTGCATTGTCTGGCGCAGGTGACAAATGTCAACAGATTTTACCGTGTGGAGTGTGGAGTGGGGAGTGCTAGGCTTGCAGTAGTGATAATAGCAGTCATCATGTTTGAATACTTGTGTGTCAGGCACTGGACTAAATGCTTGACACGCGTTATCATTTAAACGGTGATACGGCCTGTTGACTCAGGTGCTATGATTGTCCCTGTGTTTACAGATGACCTGTTATATGATGTGTCTAGTTAGCACACCTGCTCTAGTGAGGGGCAGAGCAGGGATTCTGATTCTGGGTGTGCAGGATTCTACAGCCCCAACCACTCAGCAGTTGTGCCACTTTGCCTGTGACTGAGGTATGGCATGGCAGCCAAGAAGAGGGAGCCGCCCGTTCCCTCTGGGAAGTCAGGGAAGACTCCCGGGAGGTGAAATGTCCTTTAGTTTCTTTCAGATCATAACCAAGATGCTTAGAGGTCTCGGCTGGGGTGACTTGGCACCCTGGCCTCTGCTTATGATGAGTCGAGGTTTCTGTCTTGGGCCTTCCTCACTTCCTAATGCCCTGCACCTCCCATGGGGCAAGAGGCTCCGGCCTCCTCTGGCAGTTGAATCCAGATGGATGACAAGATGAAGGCCGCACAGCGATGGTTCCGCCCTGGCCTGAACCCGCCAAGCGCCCCCTCCCACCCAGAGCGCGGCCTGCAGCACTGACCGAGGCGTTGACTTCTGCCATGGAGGCATTTTCCTCTTCACTGAGCAAGAGCTGGATGACTCTTAAGGGAAGTTCTGGAGATGGGAGAAGCAAATGTATCATCACCCCACGGTTTACCCAGACTTACCCAAAAAGTCTGTCGGGCCAGCCCAAGTTGACTGCTCCATTCCAGTGACAGAAGGTCACTGAAGAAACCGGGAGAAGTGGCCCTCACCCTACATTCCACAGTGACAGAAGGTCGCTGAAGAAACCGGGAGAAGTGGCCCTCACCCTACATTCCACAGTGACAGAAGGTCGCTGAGCAAACCGGGAGAAGTGGCCCTCACCCTACATTCCACAGTGACAGAAGGTTGCTGAAGAAACCGGGAGAAGTGGCCCTCACGCTAGGGCTCACTCCACTATGCTCCGGGCCTCCCCAGCGCTCATCTCACTGAGCCAGCTGTGAGGTCTCTGCCTCCGTCCTTCCTCCATAGGCCACACAGGCCCGTGGTCCTTGCCGTGACAGCTTGCCTCGCCAGCTCCCATAGCCCGCACCTTACACCATCCCAGAGAAATCTGGAGCTCTGTCCTGTGACCCCAGAGCTTCCTCATCTTCCCCAAAGGTGGGCGGAGTGCGGGGGTGAGAGGGTGGGGCCCAGGAAGAGTGCGGGGGTGAGAGGGCGGGGTCTCTGGCGGTACCTAGGTTGACAGTTGGACTGAAGTTGTTCCCAGCCAGGAAGCAGCGGCTGTCAGTGAAGGCTGGGGGGCAGGTGCACATGGGCTGACAGCCCAGAGTCTGGGAGATGTAGCAGTGGCCTTGATTGTAGCAGTAATTCACAGGGCAGGACTGGTTCTGACACAGGAAAGAGCTCCCCAGAGCTGCAGAGTGAGTAGGGAGGTCAGCAGCAGCGCGCAGGGCAGCAGAGGGACGGCCCAGCCCGTGGAAACCCGCTCCGGGACAGGCTTGCTTTCCCCCAGTGTTCCACTTCGGGCCACTCGGAACCCCAAACCATCCTTCCCCCCTTTTCCAGGCGTTTCTCTGCAGGGCAACCCCTTTCCCCGGCCAGACAGGTATTCTTCCACTTTTGTGGAGGGACTGGAGTGTTTCTCAGACCCTCTGCTTCAGAAAGGACCCCGAAGGCTGGCAGAGGAGGGGCCCCCAGCTGGCTTTCCTCACGCCCTCCCCTCTCACGTCCATCTCCTTTTCTGCCTTTATAAAAGCTGCGGTTCTACCCACTCTGGCCTCGGCTCTGAAGGCACAGTGATCTGTAGATTTTATTTGGGTGCCTTAGGGGGCTTGGTAAAGGCCTCGCTGTGATCTCCCTCATCAGACTCTGGTGACTCAGAGCGGGAGGAACAGATGGCTGGGAGGACTCAAAGGGAAAATCAGGCACCTTTGCTGCCGGATCCCCACGCCAGCCCCTCCAAACGTCCTGACTCGTGAGATGCAGAGATCCTGAGCCTCGTGTCTCTGAAGATCCCCAGGGATCCCGAGGACCCAGCTTGCCCGGTTCTCTGGCGGCTGCTGAAGTCTCCTCCCCAAACCATCTTCAGTCTTTCGCCCGGGGCTCCCCCCATCAATGCCTCAGGGATGCCCAGCCCCGTCCCCTCCCCTATGCCTGTACAACCTCTTCTCCTTCAGCCCCACACCATCCACCACCCCCTTTCCAGGCCTGCCTAGATTTCCCATACCTGCCTAGATGATTTCCCACACCTGCCTAGATTTCCCACACCTGCCTAGATTGAGCATTCTAAAGATCTGCTGGAAAAAGGAGAGAAATGGTTTGCCTTTGGCTGTCTACACCCTTGAGCTATCAGCTGCTCCCAGAAGCGCCTGCTCCAGGCCCTGTTCCCGGCTCACCCGCACAGTGCCGCCCATCCCCAGTCAGGTTTGGAGGGCAGGCCTCGCAGCCCTTCCCAGGAACGCAGTGGACACTCGGGAAGCACGGCTCCTCACAGGCATCCTCGGAGCCCTCGCAGTAGCGGCCGAAGGTGCCCCCGTCACACTTGCAGCCAGCCACCTGGAGGAGGGTTGCCGATCACGGGCGGCCAGGAGACCAAACTGGGAAGGGCTTCTGGGTGTTTCTGACTGACCCCTTTGGCCTGAGAACCCGTGGACCCTGAGTCATGTCTCAGCCCCACCAGCACCTGCTGAGCACCTTCTTGACCAGGCCGTGGGGCGGCAAGGCCCTGCCTAAAGCCACACGGTAGTCCTGCCCAGCTGGCCTCCCTGGGTCATTGTTTACCCTGACCCCCTGCCTGGCCCTGCACCAGGATCTCAGCCTCTTCCCTCTCACACTCTAGCTCTTTGCCTGAAATCCTTTCTAGAGTAAGATGGGGGATGCATGAATGATTGAAGCATGAATGAATGAATGAATGTATCCATGTATAGATGTATGTATCCATGTATGTATGTATCCATGTATGTATGTGTGTATCCATGCATGTATGCATGTATGTATCCATGTGTGTATCCATGTGTGTATGTATCATGTATGTATCCATGTAGATATGTATCAATGTATGTATCCATGTATGTATCCATGTATGTATGTGTGTGTCATGCATGTATGCATGTATCCATGTATGTATCCATATGTGTGTATCCATGTGTGTATGTATCCATGTGTGTATGTATCCATGTATGTCCTATTGCTTGAAAACTGGATTCCTTATTTATTTTGAGACAGGGTCCCACTCGGTTGCCCAGGCTGGAGTGCAATGTCTTGATCTTGGCTCACTGCAAACTCCACCTCCCAGGTTCAAGCCATCCTCCCACCTCAGCCTCCCGAGGAGCTGGGGCTACAGGCATGCACCACCACGCCCACTAATTTTTGTATTTTTCTTCTGCTTTTTTTTTTAATGAGACAGTCTCGTTCTGTTTCCCACGCTGCAGTGCAGTGTCTCGATCTCGGCTCACTGCAATGTCCCCCTCCCAAGTTAAAGCAATTCTTGTGCCTCAGCCTCCCAAATACTTGAGATTACAGGCATATGCCACCACGCCCAGCTAATTTTTTGATTTTTAGTAGAGACAGGGTCTTGCCATATTGCCCAGGCTGGTCTCAAAGTCCTGAGCTCAAGCAATCCGCCTGCCTCAGGCTCCTATGTGGCCTGCAAACTGGATTTCATATAAGCTGAAATTGACCTCCCTTGCTGACTCCCAAACCAAGAAGACAGAGCCTCCCTGCTGAGCACTGTGAGAAAACACAGCAGCCAGTACAGCAGCTCAGCAAAGGCTGCGGCGCCGAGACCTCACCAAGCTCCCTGCGCTCCCCTTTCTAACTCCCTTACTGAAGCGACTCGGGGAATCTCCCTAAAATGGAATCCTCTAACACTTGCTACTCCCAAGAGTGGATATTTGGGGATCTGTGGAATAGTATATTGATTTCAATCTCTTTTTCCCATTGTGTATTTTATGCTTTTCTACCCCCTACCCCACCAACCGTCCCTACCTCTATCCCTTTCGAGTACCCATTCTCTGCTCATGCTTCAGAAGGATGTGTGTGTGTGTCTGTGTGTGCGTGTGCATGCGTGTGTGTGTAAGTGGTGAAGGAGGTAGTTTTGTGTTGCCAGATAAACACTTTCCTTTCTGGCTCTTCCTTTACAACCAAAAATAAAAATAAAAAAGCAGATAGGACAAGAGTCGTGGAATTAGGCCAAGTATCTTGGCTAGAAACATGGAGAAGTAGTTTCTCCAAACTGGAAAAGATGTTTCTTTTAGCTGGAAGGAGATAGTAAAAGAGAAAGCAAAGGGGCTTGGAGGTGTCAAGATAGAGGGACCCGCAGCTCTCTTCCCAGCACCGTGATGATGACATCCTAGGGAGAAATGACTGTGGGGTGCTTCTAGGCAGACAGGACTGTAAGCGGCCTCAGAAAAGGTGTCCTGTGTCTGAGCAAGGCACAGAAGCAGCAGAGCCTCTCCCTGGGTCTGAAGGGGAAGTGGGGCGGAGCTGTGATGGAAACCTGTGTGGACTCACGCCCAGGGACCCACAACCACCTTCCACCCCACACCGCAGGGCCCTCTGCTGGGCTTCGCCGCAGAGCTGTGGGGCGCTGTGAGAAAGACGGAGGTGGAAGTTTCCTGCCAACCTGGCAGAAGGGGAGGTGGGAGATAAAAATCCAGTTGAACTATAAGCAATAAAGTAAGGTTCTTTCCTCTTTCCTTCCTTCCTTCCTTTTTCTTTCTTTCGTCCTTCTTTTTCTCCAATATAGTTTCTTTCTTTCTTTCTTTTTCTCCTTTCCCTTTCTTTCCTTTCCTTTCTTTCCTTTCCTTTCTTTCCCTCCTTCTTTCTTTCTTTTCTTTTCTTTTCTTTTCTTTTCTTTCTTTTTGACATAGAGTCTCACTCTGTTGCCCAGGCTGGAGTACAATGGCGCAATCTTGGCTCACTGTAACCTCCACCTCCCGGGTGCAAGCGATTTTCCTGCCGCAGCCTCCCGAGTAGCTGGGACTACAGGCGCCTGCCACCACGCCCAGCTAATTTTTGTATTTTTAGTAGAGATGGGGTTTCACCATGTTGGTCAGGATGGTCTCGATCTCCTGACCTTGTGATCCGCTTGCCTCAGCCTCCAAAAGTGCTGAGATTAAAGGCGTGAGCCACTGCACCCGGCCAGAAAGTTCTCTTTCTTCCCATGTGAGTTTGTGGCCTGAGACTGGAATCTGCTCTACTCACCTACCACTGCTCCACCCATCTCCCAACACAGACACACCCAGGACAGGCAGAATCACAGCATCCATTCCACTCCCATTTCCTCTCCCCTCGGCACAGAAACTCCTCCCCCACCTCCCAACACTCACCTCCAGGGAGGAGTTGCCCACCCTGCTGGTCTGATTGTACAAACACTGGCTCTCTGCATTGCAATGGCAGACCACAGTCCTGGGCTGGAGTGCAGATGCCAAGCCAATCTTGGCACTTCTTGCTAGAATCTCCAGAGTGAATGGCTCCAGCGACTTGGGTGTCCACAGCAACGTCCCATTCTCTGCCCCGGGGAAGATGAGAATGTTGAGAGCTGGGAGACTCCTCGGCTCTGTGGTCTGATTGCTGATACGGGGCTTCCCCCACCCCTCTCAGGCCACCCTCCCCCTCCCCAGACAAATCTCATTGGTCATTTCCTTTGAGCAAGGCTGGTATCGGGGGTGATCCTGGTCACGCTCCCAGCTGGAAGGACGTGGCACCAGTCCAACATACTGATTGTAGCGGGGAACGCCACAGAGGGGAAAGCAGTTTCCTCCTGAAGAAACCCCAAAGGGCAGCCCTGGCTGGGCTCACACCAGGATGGGACATCCTGGGGGATGGAGGATCAAGGCCAGGATCCTCCAGACACCTCCCCAGGCTGCGCTGCCGGCCAAACTGGCTTCACTCTCACGGCAGCCCCATCCTTTGCCCTGATTTCTCACCCACCCCCCACTTCCTGGACCTTTCCCAGACACCCCCTTCAGACACCAGACTGTAGTGAAACACTACTACATATCTTCAGATCAAACTGATATTTTTCAAGAAAATAGGAAAGTCTCCTTAAAACAGCAGATTGAAAGGAAGTGACAGAGAATAGACGAACGTAATTTCCAGACCATCGTCCTTCAGGGGTGGGGCCCGTGGAGAAGAAAACCTCTCAGTGCCATTGTCTCGCACCTGGGAGGACGCACATGGGGCAAAAGGGATGCAGGCAAAGCAGTCCCTTCTGAGACACAGAGAGAAAGAACATCAGGCAGAGAGGCAAAGAGAACGCAAAATATGCCCCCCGGGGCTTTGGTTTAGCCAAGAACAGTCACCCTCAGAATTAGTGCTGGCAACAGACAGAAAGTGGCATCCCTTTGATGCCCTTGGACCCTTTGAATTAGTGCTGGCAACAGACGAAAGCAGCGTCCCTTGTGCTTGGAGCCTTTGGCCCTGATCATGGATGTAGGGCTCGGGGTCTCTAACACCTTTACGGAGAGGGAGCGATGGCACTCTACTGGGTCCTAGCCCAGGAAACCAGACAAGGAGAGACACGGCTAGGTAAACATGGTTGCCAGACAAAAAGAGCAAGAAAGGTACCAAACGAAAGTATTTTTCATATTTCTTTAAATCTTGTCCTACATTAGAGCCTTCCTTTAATAGATATAAAAATGTTGTAAATTGGTCATTTTAAATGTTGCACTTGATTATTCTAATAATTTGGTGAATGCATAATGACTAAAGATGACTATATATGATCAGATTGAGATTAAATGATCTTCAAATCTTTTTTTTGAGACAGAGTCTCGCTCTGTCACCAGGCTGGAGTGCAGTGACGCGATCTCAGCTCACTGCAACATCTGCCTCCTGGGTTCAAGCGATTCTCCTGCCTCAGTCTCCTGAGTAGCTGGGATTACAGGCATGCACCACCATGCCTGGCTTTTTTTTTTTTTTTTGTATTTTTAGTACAGACGGGGTTTCACCATGTTGGCCAGACTGGTCTCGAACTCCTGACCTCAGATGATCCGCCCACCTCGGCCTCCCAAAGCGCTGGGATGACAGGCATGAGCCACCGCGCCCAGCCTTGAATCAGTTCTATGTGCCCAGAGTCACTCTAGCTATCTGGCCAAACCGCCGTAAGCCCGTCACTACTACTTACTGGGGGGCACCTATTTGAGTTATAGATATCGCTCCTCGGAAATGCCGGTCCTGGATATTCAAATGAAAGAGTGACAGCAAGTGTTGCTGGGTGTAGCAATGCAGAATTTCCCAAATTTGACTCTGACCTCATCCCCTACCCACCTCCCCACTCTCCCCAGCCAGCCAAATAGTCCTACCAAAGAGCTCCAAGTCGGTGCAGCTGTCTCTGAGCGTGAAGTTGGCATCCTCAGCATTGCTGGTGTACTGAATCAGCGTGGTCTGCCCCTTGTAGGCTTCAATCACACGACCACCATTGATGGAGGGCGGGTACTGATCTGAAACACAAAGAGGGAATGGGGGTTCCGAGGCAGGACAGTCTCCTGCTTTATCAGCCTCCTCTCTTTCTCAACTCTAATATGTGTGAGGCATTCCCAGGACTGTGACCCACCTCTGGAAGAAGGAATTATTCTGTGTACCTGCTCTCGACTGACGCACAGCAGGCTGGGACTGTACTGCCCACCTAGCCAAATCTTTAGCCTCTTTCTCTCCCCCCACCTCCTCAAAAAGAGCTCCTTTCAGATTCTTTCCTGAACACAGTGCTATGCTGGGTATGACAAAAAGTGAATTAGAGAGCAGATTTGTTTGGACCATTACAAAGGGTTGTACCCTTAGACCAAAGGGTTGTACCTTTGGCAAAGGGCTGAAAACCTGAAGGGTGCTGGGTGTCTCATGTCTGTAATCCCAGCACTTTGGGAGGCCGAGGCCGGTGGATAACCTGAGGTCAGGAGTTCGCGACCAGCCTGACCAACATGGTGAAACCCTGTCTCTACTAAAAATACAAAATTAGTCAGGCATGGTGGCGGGTGCCTGTAATCTCAGCTATTCAGGAGGCTGAAACAGAAGAATCGCTTGAACCCGGGAAGCAGAGGTTGCGACGAGCCGAGATCACGTCACTGCACTCCAGCCTGGGCAACAAGAGCGAAACTCCGTCAACACACACACACACACGCACAAAACCTGGAGGGTCACATCTAAAGGGACATTGCATTTGTCCAGAAATAGAGAGGGAGTGAAACCTCTTCACGGGTCTGTTTCTCGGAGCCCTGCCATTTCCATTTCATAGTTGCTTCACACATTCATTCAGTCAGTCATTTAACAAACATTTATTGAGCTAAGTGGCTGGCACTGTTCTGGGTGGTGAGGATACAGTCATGAATGAATAATTAAAAAGATACCTGTGAAAATTATAAAATATGTTGAGTAATTATAAATGCTAAGGAGAAAAAAATAAAGCAGGGAAGGCAAACATGAAGTGTGGGTGAATGTGACATTTTAGACAGGGCGGCCAAGAGAGGCCTCACCAAGGAGGGGACATTGGAATGAAGACGTAAAGAAGGTGAGGGGCAAGCGTGTGGCTGTCCAGGGAAGGAAGGGTATTCCAGGCAAGAGAACAGCACGTGTGAAGCCTGGGAGCTGAGCGCACCTAGCGTGTTTGAAGAACACAGAGGAGCCTGCGGGGCTGGAGTGCAGGGAGCTGGGAAGGGGTCCAGCGCTAGGATGGAGTGGAGGGGGCTGGGAAGGCATCCAGCGCTAGGATGGATGGAGGGGGCTGGGAAGGGGTCCAGCGCTAGGATGGAGTGGAGGGGGCTGGGAAGGCGTCCAGCGCTAGTATGGAGTGAAGGGGGCTGGGAAGGCATCCAGCGCTAGGATGGACGGAGGGGGCTGGGAAGGCGTCCAGCACTAGGAGAAGAGCTCTGAGAAGCTGAACTGGGCCGAAGGCCACTGCAAGGATGGAGAGAGCCAGGGAAGTCTCTGAAGGGTTTGAGCAGAGGAATGCCAGGAGTGGAAGAATCTGCTCAGTGAATGCAGATGCACAGGGAAAAGCAGGGTCAGGCAAGGGCAGCTCCTCATCTGCTCCCGACTCTGAAAAGGCCTCCCCAGGCCTCGGGCCACTTACTGAGGGTGGCGTTCGCCTGCTCGTAGTTTTTACTGACTTCCCTCGTGTGAAGTCCGATGCTTGCGTTGCGCAGGGCCAGGGTGTCATAGATGCATGAGCTATCTCCGTCACAGTTGGAGATCAAATGTTCAGCCCAGGAGCTGTTTTTTTGCAGTTGTGAGTAGAAAACAGGGGTGAAGTTGGAAGGCAGCTGGTCATTCCTCTTGCCAAGGAGGCCTGTCCCGTTGATCTGCCCTGTAACACACAGAGCGCGGTGGTACCAGGCATGGCACTCAGCCTTATTCCATCTGTGTCCACCTCTACCCCTCACTTTAGATGGCTTGGAGCGGGGCGGTGGGAGTGCAGGGCCAGAGCGGTTTCCAGCTTCTGAGTCTAGAAACACCTGCTGCAGTGAGAGAGGACACTCCACGTCCCCCATTCTCTCCTCCAGGTAGAGAGAGGCAGGTGGGCTGGTGGTGGTGGGGACAGCCCTGGGGGGGCACAGATTCCTCAGACCTTAGGGAGGATGGAGGTCTGCTTCCTACAGGGCCGAGGGGGACGACATAAACATACCGGCTCCCCTCACCTGCCCCTCTGCCCCAGGACCCTGCCCAGACTCACAGGTCATTCCAAAGTGGAAAAGCATCTCCTCAGGGCTCCCTGGGGGAATGGTGGAGCCATTGGGCATCCTGAAGTCGTCCTCTGGATTGTTATTCCAGACCCCTGAGGGACAGAGTGGGAGGTTGGCCACCCTGGGCACGCGGCTGTCCCCTTCCTGGGGAGCATCCGGCGGACGCAGTGGGGAGAGGCCAGGGCCTGGCAGCCTCTGCTCTTGCACCTGCTGTCAGGCCTCCAGGGGAGCCGGGAGGACGGGCCCTCACACCCTGCCCGTCTGCCTTCGGGAGGGGCGGGAGGAAACGCGGGCAGCGGTGGAGGAGGGCGGGAGGATGTGGGAGGCAAGAGGAAAGGGAGAAAGGATGGCTGTGCCCCCCGCCTCCCCGCAGCCCCCCCTGATGCTCCCTTAGAGCGGGCGGAGGACAGGAAGGGAGCCTCGGGGGAGGCTGGAGAAGCCCCTCGGCTCCCGGCCCGCTCTGTGCCCCAAGGGTTCTGCTCCAAGGAGGCGGAGAAAGGGAGGCCGAGCAGGGCTGCCCGGGCCGCCGGCGTGGGGGTCCGAGCTCCGGCTGGCTCCGCGGAGCCTCAGAGGCAGGTCCGAGCCGCCCTCACCCAGGAGCCCCTCCGTGCGGTTCTGGTACTCGGGCGGGAGGCTGGCGGAGGCGTGGAGGATGTTGGAGAGCGCGATCACCGAGACGGTGGCCCAGCCGTCGAAGCTGGCCGAGACCTCAGAGCCGTTGCGGCTCAGGAGGACTCCGGTGGCGTTGAACGTCTCCTGGCCTGGAGCATCGGGAGGCAGCGGAGAGGAAGCCAGGTCGGCACCACGGCCCGCACCAAACCCGCGCCCTGCCGGGCCCGCACCACCCCCACCCCGCCCCTGGGGCTGAAGCCGGGAGGGGTCTGCACTGGAGGCGGAGAAGAGGCCGGCGAGCTGCACGCCCCGCTCGGGGGTAGAGGCTGCGCTCTCTTGGCCCTGCACCGCCACGCACCGGGCCCTGCACCGCCACGCACCGGGCCCGGCACCACAACGCACTCGGCCCTGCACCGCCACGCACCGGGCCCTGCACCGCAACGCACCCGGCCCTGCACCGCAACGCACCGGGCCCTGCACCGCCACGCACCCGGCCCTGCACCGCCACGCACCCGGCCCTGCACCGCCACGCACCGGGCCCTGCACCGCCACGCACCGGGCCCTGCACCACAACGCACCCGGCCCTGCACCGCAAAGCACTCGGCGCGGCACCGCCACGCGCCCGGCCCTGCACCACAACGCACCCGGCCCTGCACCGCCACGCGCCCGGCCCTGCACCGCAACGCGGCTTCCCGCCCACCTCGCTGCTCCCGGTGCGGGGAGGGGGCGGCCGGCGCTCCCCAACCTACCTCCGCCGTCTTCATGGTCAGGCTGAAATGTCACAGTCTGGTTATCCAGCAGGACACGGATTGCGTCGTGAGGCTCAAGGAGCCATTGGACCTGGAAGGAGATGGGAGGGGGCCTGAGCCCGACCCGCAGGTGGAGCCGACGCCCAGGAAAGCAGCTGGGAGAGCCCCTGGGGCTGGAAGCTGCGCCCTGGGCCGGGAGGAAGGCGCTGGAGGCCGCGGCCTGAGGTGATGCCAGCCGCCGTCTACCGTGTGCTCGGCAGGGCCAGGCATGGTTTTCGGATTATGCCCTTTAGCTCTTACAACAGCCCGTGAGGCAGGTAATGTCATCCCCATTCTTACTAGGAGAAAACCAAATTAAGTAGTTTCTTCGAAGCCAAGCAGCTGGGAAACCGTGGGGCCAGAGCCCTAATCCACCATCCCCAGGATTTACTCCGGGACAGCTGCGTGGATGGGCTGTGTCCTCCCTCCCTCCTGCCCGGCTTCCCCTCCTTCGCTCTCTTCCTTCTCCTCGGCCTCAGTATGTGGCTGAAGGTCCCTGTGGGTGGAATGCAGGGAGGTTCCCGGCACCCCTCACTCACCGTGACGGGGCCCAGGCTGCTGGAGCGGTACTGAGCCGCAAAGGCGATGAAGTTGGTGGCCTGGGCTGAGCCAGTCTGGGCGGTGCGGCCCTGAAGCAGGAAGGAGGAGTTCCCGTCTTGGGCCCCGACCAGCAGGAAGTCCCCCAGCCCATTGAAGGTGTAACTGACACCATCCAAGGTGGTGATGTGGGGGTCCCCGAACATCCAGGCTGGAAGGAAAAAAGAGATGCTGCCTCAGCATGACAAATCATGTGTAGGGCTGAGGTTCCTCACTGCAGTCAGGTGCGGCACTTGTCCAGGAGGACTCAGGGTGAGGTTCCTCACTGCAGTCGACTGGGGCACTTGTCCGGGCGGACTCAGCTGGGGAGATGTTCACAGAGCACAGAATCCTCCCCTCAAGCCTCCTTGCATTTTCGTGCCCCGCTATTCTCACTCCTTCCCCAACTCAGGTACAAAGCCCCTCCACTGACCATCCACCCATCACTGGCGTCATCTCCATCTTCCCTTGTGGCCACAGCTCTGCCCCTACTCCTTATCCAGATGCCACCTCCCGGAAGCCCAGAAGCTCCCCCTCCCCAGAGGCTCTTCCTGGGCCTGGGCCCTGTCGCTCACCGGGCTGTGGGGGCCTGTATGTAGCACAGCCCACGTGGGGCCGCCTCTGCTGGTACAGGGCACAGAGGTAGGGCTTGTCATTCCAGCGGCAGCACCAGCTCTGTGGCTCCAGTTCCTGGGCTGCGGAGAACAGCAGTGAGTCGGGGAGGTTGAGGACCTGGAGAAGCTTGGCAGGGCAGGGTGGTGTTGGTTGAGAGCTTGGCAGGGCAGGGCGGTGTTGGTGGAGAGCTTGGCAGGGCAGGGCGGTGTTGGTGGAGAGCTTGGCAGGGCAGGGCGGTGTTGGTGGAGAGCTTGGTAGGGCAGGGCGGTGTTGGTGGCAAGAGCATGGCTTTGGAATCCAGCATGGCCCTTCTCATGACCTTGGGCAGTGAATAGGGTGCTGTCTCTTTTGCAGGCATTGGGGCCACTGTGCAGCAGGGCGCATGGTAGGAGCTAAGCAAATTTCCTGTCTTGAGGGTGGAGAGCCAAGTACTGCTGCTCTCAACGTGCTGGGAGTGGGGAGGGCACGGCTGACGGTCTGGGAACTGTGGAAACTGCCATGGGACGGGGGAGAGAACGGGAGGACACAGACCACGTGACCCCACACCCCTGCGCTCTCCAGCTCCCTTGGAGCGTCTCTGTGGGAGCTGACTCTCAGTCTTCCCCCAAACATCCTGCTCATCTGGGTCTACAGGGACGGGGTCAGCCTAGGCGCTCTCTTCTTGCCTGGAGAAATGGCCCCACTCTGGCCTGGGGATGTGGAGCCAGGTATAGAGATGAGGAAAGAGGCTCTCAGCTCATACATCCCCGAATGTCCGCTGGTGGGGATGTTGGAAGCTTCCTAACGTTACCCGATCAGGAAGTGGAGGCCCAGAGAGGGGAAGGGTCTGGGAAGGAATGAGGACGAGAGGCTTCATGCTGAGGGTCCCCTACTTGGCCGGGAAGGTGGGGTTGAGATCACGGACTCACGCACCCAACTGCCAAGGACGCTGCACGTGCCAGCCTTCACGAAACTCTCCCCAGGGCCCGTAGCTGCAGCACACGCCTCCTCGCCAAGAGGTGAAGCTGCACAGCTGCCTACTGCCGAGGCCCCAGCGACCTGAAACAAGTCCAGTCCCACTCAGGCCCAGGCTGGGGCTGCCAGGGGCGGGGTGGGAACAAGCAGGGGCTGTTTCTGGGGAGAGGCTGAGGGCGTGAGCAGAGAGGGTGGTGGGTGGGCTTGTGGGGGGCGGGAAGGAGGTGTCACCTATGCTGACGGGTTGGAATCGTAAGTCCCGTCGTCCCTGCTGCCAGGAACAAGGGCAGGAGACCTGGTTCCAGCCCCAGCTGGGCCACCGAGGCTGGCTCTTCAGCCACTGCAGGCACTCGAGACGGTAGTTGGGCCTTTCTTCCCGGTGTAGCCTGTAGAACTGCAGCCCTTGGAGGCCTGAGGTCGGGGATGGGGGGGAAAGGGCTTATCCAGGGCTGGGGCTGCAGGCCCTGTCTCAGCTTTAGGGTCAACCAAAACTCACAAATGCACCCCCTCCTGCCACTTCTCACCTCTTTGGACCCAAGTCAGATGGGCAACAATTCCTCCCCCAAAGCCCCTCGCTTGACTTAGCGTCTGCTTCTGACGACCAAACGTGGTTGCCACAGAACAAATAGAACTGGATTTACACTTCACAGTTCACGTGGCTGGTTTCTAAGGCTAAAATGTCCTTCAACCTATCACATTTTGGAAACTATTATTTCTTTCCCATTGGGGCCTCTGGACTGAGTCATGGAGAAGGCGCCATTGTTTGCCTCTTGACGCTTGTCTTTCTACCCGCATGAAAGCTCTTTGAGAGAAAACACAGTTGGTCTTTTTCCTTTGTTTCTGGCTGTTAGCACGGTGTCCAGCACACGGCAGGTGCCCAGTAAATGATGACAATGAACGTGAGACCCCCGGGCCTCTTCTTGGTGGATTCTCTCTTTTTGAGATGGAGTCTCACTCTGTCACCCAGGCTGGAGTGCAGTGGCGCGATCTCGGCTCGCTGCAACCTCCACCTCCCAGGTTCAAACAATTCTCCTGCCTCAACCTATTGAGTAGCTGGAATTACAGGTGTGCACCACAACGTCTGGCTAATTTTTGTATTTTTAGTAGAGACAGAATTTCACCATGTTGGCCAGGCTGGTCTCGAACTCCTGATCTCAAGTGATCCGCCCACCTCAGCCTCCCAAAATGCTGGGATTACAGGTGTGAGCCATGGCGCCCAGCCGGTAGATTTTCTTAAAGGATCTCACCTGGGTTCTCATTCCTGCTCTGGACAGGACACTTGGAGTATTGTCTGAACTGCCCATTCAAATCCCACCTCCCACAAGACCCTGTCCTCACTTCCAGGATCTGGGCCCCCCGAGAGCCCTCTTGGGCTGGTTCATCTGAGGGAGGAGATGTAGCCCCCTCTGAGACTGTGCTGTGTCCAGGGGTGCAGGAGGTGCCAGCTGCTCCCTGGGTGGTGCCACATCCCACCTAGACCTGTAGGAGGTTGAACTGTGTGGGGGAGGCCCTTCAGGATGGCCGTGATGTTAGGGAGGTGCCCTCTAGGACTGCGATGGTGTATGGGCTGGAGGACACGCGAGGGCTTGAGACCAGCTCAGGTGTGATAAGGTGGCACTTTTACCTGAGTTGGAATTCAGGAATCTATCAGGGCGATACCTCTCCCACACTGGCTGGGACATCAGTGGGCTGTTTTCGAAATAGCCATCTCCACTGCAGGAAAGGAGAGACTCTCAGGCCTCTGCCGTGCACAGGCTCTTGCCTCGCGGTTGCAAGGCGTCCATTCATCCCGCTAGCCGGTCAGCAGCTGGTCAACCAGCTAGGCGGGCAGTGGGTCAGTGGGTCAGCCAGCCCCCATCGTCAAGCCCCAGCACTGAGCAGGAGAGGGGACAAGATGGCTGGGCAGAGGTAGGAGGCTCTAACCGATTCCACATCTGATCGCTAGCTGCAAGAAACTGGCAGGTCCGCTTGGTCATGAGACAGGGGCGTGAAAACAACAGAGTTCAGGCCTCATTTCTGTTTGTTTCCCTTCAACAAGCAGAGGGTTTGGAGCGGGACAGACTCTAGGGACAGTGTATTGTGATGGTTAAGACCCAGTTTCTGGAGTTAGGCAGTGATGGATTCAACTGCTGATCCCCCCACTTACTAGCTTGGTGACCACAGACAAGTTACTGACCCTCTCTGATTCTTAGTTTTCACATCTGTATAAAAGGGATTACAGTGGCATCTACCTCACTGTATTGTGAGGATTAAATGCAGTAACATCTGCAAATCCCTCAGAACTGAGTGAGGCCTTGATACAACAGATGCTGCCACTGCTGCTACCACCACCACCACCATCGCCAGCACTACCACCACCACCACCATCATCGTCACCACCAACACTACCATCACCATCACCATCACCACCACCACCACCAACACTACCACCACCATCACCATCACCACCACCATCACCATCACCACCACCATCACCATCACCACCACCATCGCCACCACCATCATCACCATCACCATTACCATTGCCACCACCATCACCACCACCATCACCACCACCACCATCATCACCATTGCCACCACCATCACCACCATCACCACCACCATCGCCACCACCACCACCACCACCATCACCATCACCACCATCACTGGCCACCCCCCAAAAAATACCACCATCGGCCACCACCACCATCACCACCACCATCACCATCGCCACCACCACCATCACCACCACCACCACCATCACCACCATCATTGCCACCACCATCATCACCACCATCACCACCACCACCACCATCACCACCACCACCATCGCCACCATCACCCCCAACACCACCACCATCACCACCATCACCACCACCATCACCACCATCACCATCGCCACTGCCACCTCCACCGCCACTACCACCACCACCACCACCACCACCACCACTATCGCCATCACCGTCCCCAGGTGTGGGGTCCGAGCATGGCCCGGGAAGGAGGAAAGCCTGGAGCAGCCGCCTGCAGCCCCACCCTGGGTGCCTGCTGCAGAGTGGGGACTCTTGGGCTTTTCCTCCTCCCTGACACAAGCAGGATGATGCACCCCTGCGTGACACCTTCCTTGGGTGTACCTGGACCGTGTGAAATTCCTAGAGTTGGGTAATTCCCCTCCTTTCTCCTTCATAGCACACCAAGAAACTAGTGAAAGCAGTGTAATCAAAGGGGTAACCTGAACACACTCAATGTAAGAGAAGACATTTGCAGCAATTATCAAGAACAAAAGACATGTGGCCTTCGTACTGATTGCCACACCCCAGCATATGGGAACAGAGATGGCGCACTGCTACATCGGAGACAGCCTCCCACACACGGGAATCCACATTTCAACCGCCCACAGCCCCGTGCCTCCTCTCTCCCTTCACCACCGGCTCCATATAAGCTTTTGGGTGCCCCCTGGATAAGTGGGTAATTCTCAGGAAGTCAGGAAGGCAGATTCTAGCCTCAGATGTCTGGGTTCAAATCTCCATGTTGCCACTTCCCAGCTCTGGGACTTTAGGCAAATTGCTAGTCTATTTGTATCTCAGTTTCCTGATCTGTAGAATGGGGATGATAAATAGTATCTGCCTCGTGGGGTGGCTGTGATCATGACATGCAGTAATGTACACGAAGTGTTAGTGTCATCAGTCTTGGCTGTTATTATCACGATATTTGAGAAGGTAAGAGAGGCCAGCTAATGTCAGTGGAAATCAGGGAAGCCAAAGCTCTGGGAATGATTACAACTCACGGGGACTGGGATGGGAAAGGGCATGGCGGACAAATGGGTGATCTTGTCGTGGGAAGCAGCCAGATGCCTGGCCCCAGCGGGAGCTGGAGTCAGCGTGAGTCAGAAGCACCAGCCAGGAGGGTTCCCGCCTTGCCCCAGGATGGGAGTGTGTGTGCAGCGAAAGCCGACTCTACACCCCTCCCTGCCAACTGCTCAGTGCTGACAGCCCCTCCCATCCTACCTAGAGAAGCCCATGAGCACCGGGTTGCCTGAGCGCTGGGCCACGTCCCACTGCATCCCACCGCTCTGGTAGAGAAACAGGGCATAGGACCTGCTCCCGTCCGTGGAGAGGATGGCTTGGTAGGTGTTGCTCTGGGGGTGGGTGGAAGAAAACACAGGGATGCCCGTGAGAGATCCGGGGTCTCCTCTCTTATGTCCCCCCGCCCGTCCCACAGCCCTGCTCTGACACGCACAGCACCTGTTCCTGGTCTGCCCACAGCAAAGACATGGGCCCAAAATGCTGGCAAGTTTTGGGTCAGTGAGGGCAGCTTTCACCCTGGGTGCGAACGCACTTACCACGGTGGATTTGCCTTTTGGTGACTTTCTTCCAGGAGGGGAGATAAAGGGTTCTGGGTTACAATTCAGTTAGATGAGTGTTTGTTAGAGAAAGCTACCAGAACCTGAGATCAGCCAAGATACCAGAGAGCTAGAGAGGAGGCTTCATTAGCTCCCGCGCGGATATTTAAGGACATTGCCCAAATTGTCTCCTCCATCTAAACAGCATGGATGACACTGGGGTTCACTGAAGGCGCACACGTTGTCCACAGTAGGTGACCAGTGAACTTTTGTCGAGTGAATGAAGAAATGAGTGACTTTAGACCAGGCATAAGGAAGAACTTGGTGACTACAAGAGCGGGGTCCTCGGAGGGAGGACAGAGGAGATGGTGTGGCGCACCCTGTGCCCGTTGGATGAGCCTGTGCTTCAGAGCCAGAGGCTGGAGTCAGAAGAAGCTCCACTCAGGCCTGGCTTTGCCATTTGCCAGTGGCGTGACTCTGAACGAGTTACTTAACCTCTCTAACCATTGTCTTCCTCATCTGTAAAATGGGGAGCATAATACCAGACTGAGCCACGTGAAATTGTGAATAGCCAGACATTTTTGACTTACAAAAATGCCACTTGCTATGTTTCAGCCTAATAATACCCGGTTTGCTGGGCTGCTGTGAGGTCAAGTAGGCAAAGGGCCGAGACAGGCCGGGCCCACGGTGAGTGCTCAGCCAACAGTGGTGGCAGTGGGGGGGTGGCGGTGGGGGGGCTTGCTATAATTAGCAATCTTTCCTAGAGCCAGAGAGGATTTTGGAAGAGTGGCCCCTGCCTAGGATTCTAGGATGTCTGACTCCCAGATAGCTCCTGGGAGCTGCCCAGGGGTCTACTCACCCCGAGGGTCCACTGGGCAGGATAGGCGTGGGCATTGACCCACGTGACCTTTAGGGCCCACCTGGCCTTGTAGCCCCCGTTGTTTGTCATCTTTCTAATCCAAGACTCGGCCTGCTGGACTAGCAGGCTGTGTTCACCATAGAACGTCTCGTATTCCTAGGAAAGGAGGGCAGATGAAAACAAGCCAACGAGGGTCCCACTCCTACACATGGGCCCCCCACTTTCTGCCTGAGGACCCTGCCCACTTCAGCCCACCCAATGGCCTGCCCTCCCCTGTCCCAGGCCTGCATTTTTGCCGTGAGCTTTTCTGAGGTGAAGTTCAATTCAAACTTGGGCTGCAGGAAGGCCTGCAGTGTGCAGAATGCAGGGTCGTGGCCCAGACGTCCAAGACCTCTGGACTTGAACTCAAGCATCTTAGCTCAAACTGGCCCAGAGAGCAGAGCCACTCGGGCCCACTTTTACCTCCCCATGCCTAATCTGCAGCTTCTTGAGAACAGGCGTGAGTCTCTTCCTCTTGGAGCCTCCACACTGCCCTGTCCGTGGCAGGGGCACGGTCCACACTTCCTGCAGTAGCTTTCATCACATTTCCTCTGATTGGAGTTATTCACCCAGTCCAGGAGCACAGGACGGGCCCTCTTGACTCACTCTTGTTAGGATAGACCCCCTACAGCCTGATTTTACAATCAAAGGCTGAATTGTCAGCCCCCATCCCCCGTCACCTGTAGGTCTTCTCGTGGCCGGGTTGGGGTATTCCTGGTCAGTCTCGCGGCCGGGTTGGGGTATTCCTGGTCAGTCTCGTGGTTGGGTTGGGGTATTCCTGGTCAGTCTCGTGGTTGGGTTGGGGTATTCCTGGTCAGTCTCGTGGCCGGGTTGGGGTATTCCTGGTCAGTCTCGTGGCCGGGTTGGGGTATTCCTGGTCAGTCTCGCGGCCGGGTTGGGGTATTCCTGGTCAGTCTCGTGGTTGGGTTGGGGTATTCCTGGTCAGTCTCGTGGTTGGGTTGGTGTATTCCTGGTCAGTCTCGTGGTTGGGTTGGGGTATTCCTGGTCAGTCTCGTGGTTGGGTTGGGGTATTCCTGGTCAGTCTCGTGGTTGGGTTGGGGTATTCCTGGTCAGTCTCGTGGTTGGGTTGGGGTATTCCTGGTCAGTCTCGTGGTTGGGTTGGGGTATTCCTGGTCAGTCTCGCGGCCGGGTTGGGGTATTCCTGGTCAGTCTCGTGGTTGGGTTGGGGTATTCCTGGTCAGTCTCGTGGTTGGGTTGGGGTACTCCTGAGTCAGCTTAATGTCCCTTGACTGCTTCCTCCCACACCCATATTTAAGCCTCAGTCCCCTGCTGCAGGGGCTGTCACAGCAGCAACTCTGGCAAAGCCTTCCACACAGCTCTTTGTCTCCCCTGCCAGCTGCTGGGGGATCCTGACTGCCAGGCTTTGAAAGGCTCACCTGATAAAATGTGGTCCCCCGACCAGTGGAGAAGTCAGCATCGTCCCAGAACGGAGCCACCAGGGCCACAGGGTCCCGGCCTGTGAAGCCTGTTGGGAGTGGGTTGGGGTAGGAGAAAATCTGGTAGTCTGACTCTGGGAAGATGATCTGGCCATTGTCTGTGAACTGAGCACATGGGTTTTGTGGTCAGCATTCAGGGAGGGAAGTGGGGAGGAAAGTCCCAGCCTTGGTCCAGCTCCTCAAAAGCGTGACCCCCAAGGGTAGAGCTTTAGAGATGCTAACAACCCCTGGAAGTCACCTCCTGTGTCCTGTTTTGGGGAGAGCCCTTTCCATATATTCTCACAGAATGCTCCGCCCTCAGGCCATCCCTTGCGTCCTCGGGTGGTAGGCTTGGTCCTGTTTCACTGCAGATCCCTGGCTGTGGACCAGCCCCTCACAGGCACACCCCTCTTGGCCAGTCCCCTGGGCCCCATCCTGAAGTTTGCGACACATTAGGTGGGGCTCAGGGAGTGGAACCCTCTCTCCATCGCTCAGGGGGTGGAGCCCTCCCTCCATCGCTCAGTGGGTGGAGCCCTCCCTCCGTCGCTCAGGGGTGTAGACACCCTCTCTCCATCGCTCAGGGGTGCAGACACCCCATCTCCATCACTTAGGGGGTGGAACCCTCTATCTATTGCTCAGCAGGTGTAGACACCCTCTCTCCATCGCTCAGGGGTGTAGACACCCTCCCTTCATCGCTCAGGGGTGTAGACACCCTCCCTTCATCGCTCAGGGGTGTAGACACCCTCCCTCCATCGCTCAGGGGTGTAGACACCCTCTCTCCATCGCTCAGGGGTGTAGACACCCTCCCTTCATCGCTCAGGGGTGTAGACACCCTCCCTTCATCGCTCAGGGGTGTAGACACCCTCTCTCCACCGCTCAGGGGTGTAGACACCCTCTCTCCATCGCTCAGGGGTGCAGACACCCCATCTCCATCACTTAGGGGGTGGAAACCTCTCTCTATCACTCAGCAGGTGTGGACACCCTCTCTCCATCCCTCAGGGGTGTAGACACCCTCCCTTCATCGCTCAGGGGTGTAGACATCCTCTCTCCATCGCTCAGGGGTGTAGACACCCCCTCTCCATCGCTCAGGGGTGTAGACACCCCCTCTCCATCGCTCAGGGGTGTAGACACCCTCTCTCCATCGCTCAGGGGTATAGACACCCTCCCTTCATCGCTCAGGGGTGCTCAGGGCTATAGACACCCTCCCTTCATCGCTCAGGGGTGTAGACACCCTCTCTCCATCGCTCAGGGGTGTAGATACCCTCTCTCCATCGCTCAGGGGTGTAGACACCCTCTCTCCATCGCTCAGGGGTGTGGACACCCTCTCTCCATCGCTCAGGGGTGTAGACACCCTCCCTTCATCGCTCAGGGGTGTGGACACCCTCTCTATCGTTCGGGGTGTAGACATCCTCTCTCCATCGCTCAGGGGTGTAGACACCCCCTCTCCATCGCTCAGGGGTGTAGACACCCTCTCTCCATCGCTCAGGGGTGCAGACACCCCATCTCCATCACTTAGGGGGTGGAAACCTCTCTCTATCACTCAGCAGGTGTAGATACCCTCTCTCCATCGCTCAGGGGTGCAGACACCCCATCTCCATCACTTAGGGGGTGGAAACCTCTCTCTATCGCTCAGCAGGTGTAGGCACCCCCCTCCATCGCTCAGGGGTGTAGACACCCTCTCTCCATCACTCAGGGGTGCAGACACCCCATCTCCATCACTTAGGGGGTGGAAACCTCTCTCTCACTCAGCAGGTGTGGACACCCTCTCTCCATCGCTCAGCAGGTGTGGACACCCTCTCTCTATCACTCAGCAGGTGTGGACACCCTCTCTCCATCGCTCAGCAGGTGTGGACACCCTCTCTCTATCGCTCAGCAGGTGTGGACACCCTCTCGCCATCGCTCAGCAGGTGTGGACACCCTCTCTCTATCGCTCAGCAGGTGTGGACACCCTCTCGCCATCGCTCAGCAGGTGTGGACACCCTCTCGCCATCGCTCAGCAGGTGTGGACACCCTCTCGCCATCGCTCAGCAGGTGTGGACACCCTCTCTCTATCGCTCAGCAGGTGTGGACACCCTCTCCATCGCTCAGTCGCCCTCTCATGCTGTGTTCGGACTCAGCCTCCTCCCTCAGGGCCACAGGAGCCAGGACTGTCCCTCCAACTCTGCTCCAGGAGGCAGGGACCAGGGGGCCAGAGACAAATCCCAGAAGGTGGAAACGGCAGGAACAGTCCAGTTTCCCAAGTGTAGCTTTTTACTCCTGAGAAGGCCCCGCAGAAGCAGCGGTGGGCCCAGCAGGTGGGCAGCCCTCGCCTGGCACCCTGTGTTCCTCAGGCAGAGGCCTGACATTAAGGAGGCTGTGGGGATGGACGAGGGGCCCAGCCAAGGCTGCTTCCATTCCCGCTTCCTCTGGGTTCCGTCTCGAAGCAGGAGAGAGAAGTGGGCCCTGGGAGTTCAGGCTGCGCGGGCCGCAGCCCGGACTCACGTAGAGGGAATCACGGAGAGAGGAGCCAAGGGGGAAGCCAGTCGCCGGCTTGAAGAGTGGGGAGGTGAAGTCCACGGTCCTCCTGACGAACTCCAGGTCCCCGGCGCCTGCCCCATAGGGGAAGAGGGAAACTCCTGGGCCAGGACAGAGAAGAGCAGGAAGTCCAAGTGGGCCTGGGCCTTCTTTAGGGCTGAAAGGGATCCCAGAGCGCTCCCTGCAGGCTGCCCACACCTGTCCTGTGTTCCCCGAGGGCCCCAGAGGCAGCCATCTAGGGTGCTTCTCGCTCCCTCTCCACCCACATTAAATGCATGTGGTCATTTTACTCCCTAAACTGCGCCTCTCATCCTTCCCCAGCTTGGAGAAAAACAGGTCCTGCTGTCAGAATACCAGCAAACGATTCTCAATCTCTTAGTCTCAATCCTTTTCAGGGTTAAAAGACAAAAGTCTATGCTGGGTGCGGTGGCTCACGCCTGTAATCCCAGCACTTTGGGAGGCTGAGGCGGGAGGATCACGAGGTCAGGAGTTCGAGACCAGCCTGACCAACATGGAGAAGCCCTGTCTCTACTTAAAATACAAAAATTAGCCGGGTGTGGTGGCGCATGCCTGTAATCCCAGCCACTCGGGAGGCTGAGGCAGGAGAATTGCTTGAACCCGGGAGGCTGAGGTTCCAGTGAGCTGAGATCGCGCCACTGCACTCCAGCCTGGGCAACAAGAGCGAAAACTCCATCTCAAAAAAAAAAAAAAAAATAGACAAAAGTCCAGCGCAATGAAGATGAGTAACTGCAAAGCCCTTTTCAGGGAATGAGACTTGTTTCCTAAGACGGCCTTTCTCCAGATAAACTTGAAGACTCCTCCAATTTAACCTAGGACTCCCTAGAGGCCCTCGGGCTCCAGTTTGAGAAACCTTGTCCCAAATATTTCTCGCAGCTGCCGACTCCTTGGCGCCCTCCCCTGGTCCTGCTTGGAAACCCGCAGGCTCTCCTGGCCTCCTCACTGCCTGCAAATCGGACCGCTCCAGGCACCACTTGTTAAATGCCATTTGTACAATGCAAAACTGAGTCCTCCCTGGCTCCCGTTGCCTACAGGATTCCCCGCATGCCGGCCGCACTTTTTGCTACCCTTCTTCTCATTTTCAGCCACCCCAAATGCTTCGGGGATCCACCCCCATGCAGCACCGGGACGACTTTCTGCAGCCATACCTACCACACTCGTACCTTCCACACCCATACCTTCCACACCCATACCTTCCACACCCATACCTTCCACACCCATACCTTCCACACCCATACCTTCCACAGTCATACCTTCCACACCCATACCTTCCACAGCCATACCTTCCACACCCATACCTTCCACACCCATACCTTCCACAGTCATACCTTCCACACCCATACCTTCCACACCCATACCTTCCACACCCATACCTTCCACACCCATACCTTCCACAGTCATACCTTCCACACCCATACCTTCCACAGTCATACCTTCCACACCCATACCTTCCACACCGATACCTTCCACACCCATACCTTCCACACCCATACCTTCCACATCCATACCTTCCACACCCTTACCTTCCACACCCATACCTTCCACACCCATACCTTCCACACCCTTACCTTCCACACCCATACCTTCCACGGCCATACCTTCCACGGTCATACCTTCCACACCCATACCTTCCACGGCCATACCTTCCACACCCATACCTTCCACACCCATACCTTCCACACCCATACCTTCCACACCCATACCTTCCACAGTCATACCTTCCACACCCATACCTTCCACACCCATACCTTCCACATCCATACCTTCCACAGTCATACCTTCCACACCCATACCTTCCACATCCATACCTTCCACGGCCATAACTTCCACACCCATACCTTCCACACCCTTACCTTCCACACCCATACCTTCCACACCCATACCTTCCACACCCTTACCTTCCACACCCATACCTTCCACAGCCATACCTTCCACACCCATACCTTCCACAGTCATACCTTCCACACCCATACCTTCCACACCCATACCTTCCACATCCATACCTTCCACACCCATACCTTCCACACCCATACCTTCCACACCCATACCTTCCACACCCATACCTTCCACACCCATACCTTCCACACCCATACCTTCCACAGTCATACCTTCCACACCCATACCTTCCACACCCATACCTTCCACAGCCATACCTTCCACACCCATACCTTCCACACCCATACCTTCCACACCCATACCTTCCACACCCATACCTTCCGCACCCATACCTTCCGCACCCATACCTTCCACACCCATACCTTCCGCATCCATACCTTCCACACCCATACCTTCCACACCCATACCTTCCGCACCCATACCTTCCACACCCATACCTTCCGCACCCATACCTTCCACACCCATACCTTCCACACCCATACCTTCCACACCCATACCTTCCACACCCATACCTTCCACAGTCATACCTTCCACACCCATACCTTCCACACCCATACCTTCCACACCCTTACCTTCCACACCCATACCTTCCACAGTCATACCTTCCACACCCATACCTTCCACACCCATACCTTCCACACCCATACCTTCCACACCCATACCTTCCACACCCATACCTTCCACACCCATACCTTCCACGGCCATACCTTCCACAGTCATACCTTCCACACCCATACCTTCCACACCCATACCTTCCACACCCATACCTTCCACACCCTTACCTTCCACACCCATACCTTCCACAGTCATACCTTCCACACCCATACCTTCCACAGTCATACCTTCCACACCCATACCTTCCACACCCATACCTTCCACATCCATACCTTCCACACCCATACCTTCCACACCCATACCTTCCACACCCATACCTTCCACACCCATACCTTCCACAGTCATACCTTCCACACCCATACCTTCCACAGTCATACCTTCCACACCCATACCTTCCACACCCATACCTTCCACATCCATACCTTCCACACCCATACCTTCCACACCCATACCTTCCACACCCATACCTTCCACAGTCATACCTTCCACACCCATACCTTCCACAGTCATACCTTCCACACCCATACCTTCCACACCCATACCTTCCACATCCATACCTTCCACACCCATACCTTCCACACCCATACCTTCCACACCCATACCTTCCACACCCTTACCTTCCACACCCATACCTTCCACACCCATACCTTCCACACCCATACCTTCCACACCCTTACCTTCCACACCCATACCTTCCACACCCATACCTTCCACACCCATACCTTCCACACCCATACCTTCCACACCCTTACCTTCCACACCCATACCTTCCACAGTCATACCTTCCACACCCATACCTTCCACAGTCATACCTTCCACACCCATACCTTCCACACCCATACCTTCCACACCCATACCTTCCACACCCATACCTTCCACACCCATACCTTCCACACCCATACCTTCCACAGTCATACCTTCCACACCCATACCTTCCACACCCATACCTTCCACATCCATACCTTCCACACCCATACCTTCCACACCCATACCTTCCACACCCATACCTTCCACACCCTTACCTTCCACACCCATACCTTCCACACCCATACCTTCCACACCCATACCTTCCACACCCATACCTTCCACACCCATACCTTCCACATCCATACCTTCCACACCCATACCTTCCACACCCATACCTTCCACACCCATACCTTCCACAGCCATACCTTCCACACCCATACCTTCCACACCCATACCTTCCACACCTTTGTTCCAGCTGTTCCCGCCCTCCTCCCTGCCTGGGGTGCTCCTCCATCCCCGGCTCTGCATTCCTTAGGGCCTTCCATTGTGTGCACTTAGACCCTGGGATGAGTCCTCTAACCGCCGCTACCGGACCGTCCATCTATCCCTTGCTGAATGGCACTGGGGTCATTTCTCTGTCTCCAGCTCCTGGCCCAGTGCCATGCACAAAGCCAGCCCTCAGGAGCGACTCCGATGCTGTGTCCCTGTCCTCGGTAAGGCCCTCCCCACCCGAGAGAGCGGAGACTGTGGGAAGTAGGCTGAGAGGGAGCCTTCAGTTACATCACCCCTCAAAAGGCACAGGCCTCACCTGTATGGCCTCACCTCTCTCAGGCAGGATGGGGATGGGGGCAGCTGTGGAGCGGGTGTGCATGGCAGTGCTGGGAATGGTGGAAATGATGGTCTGGGAGGTTGTGGGGGGTGGTGATGTGGCTGTGCGTCTCCCACCGTCTGTCTTCAGTGACGGTGTTGTCATTCCTGGACACGTGAAAAGACAAGGCGGGGTGTTTCTTACAGTAACAAAACAGGAGAGTCAAAGAGATTCAAAGAAATCAGGAGCTGGAAGAGGGAGCTGGAAACTCCTTGTCTCTCCCCTGCTCATATCCAAACTACTCTCGACATCAGTGCTTTTCGATTGCGGCACAAAGGAGGGTGAGCCTGTCACCCACCACACCCATCACCTCCTCCCCTGTGGGACCTGACACGGCCCCACCAGGTAATGCGAATGCACCAGTGTTCTCAGGTACTCCTTAGGCTGAATTCCGCCAAGGGGCCCACTGGGAGACATAAAGGCGAGGCAGTTGGCAGCTACCTGGTGTTTCCATCTTCAGAGGGGAGTCCGAGGATACTGTGGAAGCTGAGGTAGCACTGCTGACAGCAAGAGGGGTGGCGTGACCTGTGGATACTGAGGAAAGGCTGGTGACAGGAAGAGGGGTGGCGTGACCTGTGGATGCTGAGGAAGTGTCGGTGACAGGAAGAGGGGTGGCGTGACCTGTGGATGCTGAGGAAGTGTCGGTGACAGGAAGAGGGGTGGTGTCACCTGTGGATGCTGAGGAAGTGCTGGTGACAGGAAGAGGGGTGCCGTGACCTGTGGACACTGAGGAAGCGTCGGTGACAGGAAGAGAGGTGGTGTGACCTGAGGATGCTGAGGAAGGGATGGTGACAGGAAGAGGCGTGGTGTCACCTGTGGATACTGAGGAAAGGCTGGTGACAGGAAGAGGGGTGGCCTGACCTGTGGATGCAGAGGAAGTGTCGGTGACAGGAAGAGGCGTGGTGTCACCTGTGGATACTGAGGAAAGGCTGGTGAGAGGAAGAGGGGTGGCGTGACCGGTGGATGCTGAGGAAGCATCGGTGACAGGAAGAGTGCTGGTGTCACCTCTGGATGCTGAGGAAGGGCTGGTGACATGAAGAGGGGTGGCGTGACCTGTGGATAATGAGGAAGCATTGGTGACAGGAAGAGGGGTGGTGTCACCTGTGGATGCTGAGGAAGTGCTGGTGACAGGAACAGGGGTGGCGTGACCTGTGGATGCTGAGGAAGGGCTGGTGACAGGAAGAGGGGTGGCGTGACCTGTAGATACTGAGGAAGTGCTGGTGACAGGAAGAGGGGTGGCGTGACCTGTGGATACTGAGGAAGTGTCGGTGACAGGAAGGGGGGTGGCGTGACCTGTGGATGCTGAGGAACGGCTGGTGACAGGAAGAGAGGTGGCGTGACCTGTGGATACTGAGGAAGTGTCGGTGACAGGAAGAGGGGTGGTGTCACCTGTGGATGCTGAGGAAGTGCTGGTGACAGGAAGAGGGGTGGCATGTCCTGTGGATGCCGAGGAAACGTCGGTGACAGGAAGACGGGTGGTGTCATCTGTGGAAGCTGAGGAAGTGTCGGTGACAGGAAGAGGGGTGGCGTGACGTGTGGATGCTGAGGAAGTGTCGGTGACAGGAAGAGGGGTGGTGTCACCTGTGGAAGCTGAGGAAAGGCCGGTAACAGGAAGAGGGGTGGCGTGACCTGTGGATGCTGAGGAAGGGCTAGTGACAGGAAGAGGCATGGTGTCACCTGTGGATACTGAGGAAGGGATGGTGACAGGAAGAGGGGTGGCGTGACCTGTGGATGCTGAGGAAGCGTCGGTGACAGGAAGAGGGGTGGTGTCACCTGTGGATACTGAGGAAAGGCTGGTGACAGGAAGAGGGGTGGCCTGACCTGTGGATGCTGAGGAAGTGTCGGTGACAGGAAGAGGGGTGGTGTCACCTGTGGATGCTGAGGAAGCGTCGGTGACAGGAAGAGGCGTGGCGTGACCTGTGGACACTGAGGAAGCGTCGGTGACAAGAAGAGGGGTGGCGTGACCTGTGGATGCTGAGGAAGTGCTGGTGACAGGAAGAGGGGTGACGTGACCTGTGGATGCTGAGGAAGGGCTGGTGACATGAAGAGGGGTGACGTGACCTGTAGATACTGAGGAAGTGCTGGTGACAGGAAGAGGGGTGGTGTGACCTGAGGATGATGAGGAAGGGATGGTGACAGGAAGAGGGGTGGCCTGACCTGTGGATGCTGAGGAAGTGTCCGTGACAGGAAGACGGGTGGTGTCACCTGTGGATGCTGAGGAAGTGTCGGTGACAGGAAGAGGGGTGGCGTGACCTGTGGATACTGAGGAAGCGTCGGTGACAAGAAGAGGGGTGGTGTCACCTGTGGATACTGAGGAAAGGCTGGTGACAGGAAGAGGGGTGGCCTGACCTGTGGATGCTGAGGAAGTGTCCGTGACAGGAAGACGGGTGGTGTCACCTGTGGATGCTGAGGAAGTGTCGGTGACAGGAAGAGGGGTGGCGTGACCTGTGGATACTGAGGAAGCGTCGGTGACAAGAAGAGGGGTGGTGTCACCTGTGGATACTGAGGAAAGGCTGGTGACAGGAAGAGGGGTGGCCTGACCTGTGGATGCCGAGGAAGCGTCGGTGACAGGAAGAGGGGTGGTGTCACCTGTGGATACTGAGGAAAGGCTGGTGACAGGAAGAGGCGTGGCGTGACCGGTGGATACTGAGGAAGTGTCGGTGACAGGAAGAGGGGTGGCGTGACCGGTGGATGCTGAGGAAGCGCCGGTGACAGGAAGAGTGCTGGTGTCACCTGTGGATGCTGAGGAAGGGATGGTGACATGAAGAGGGGTGGTGTGACCTGTAGATGCTGAGGAAGGGCTGGTGACAGGAAGAGGGGTGGTGTCACCTGTGGATGCTGAGGAAGTGTCGGTGACAGGAAGAGGGGTGGTGTGACCTGTAGATGCTGAGGAAGTGCTGGTGACAGGAACAGGGGTGGCGTGACCGGTGGATGCTGAGGAAGTGCTGGTGACAGGAAGAGGGGTGGCGTGACCTGTGGATGCTGAGGAAGGGCTAGTGACAGGAAGAGGCATGGTGTCACCTGTGGATACTGAGGAAGTGTTGGTGACAGGAAGAGGGGTGGCCTGACCTGTGGATGCCGAGGAAATGTCGGTGACAGGAAGACGGGTGGTGTCACCTGTGGAAGCTGAGGAAAGGCCGGTGACAGGAAGAGGGGTGGCGTGACCTGTGGATACTGAGGAAGTGTCGGTGACAGGCACAGGGGTGGTGTCACCTGTGGATGCTGAGGAAGGGCTGGTGACATGAAGAGGGGTGGCGTGACCTGTGGATGCTGAGGAAGCGTCGGTGACAAGAAGAGGAGTGGCGTGACCTGTGGATACTGAGGAAGTCTCGGTGACAAGAAGAGGGGTGGTGTCACCTGTGGATGATGAGGAAGTGTCGGTGACAGGAAGAGAGGTGGTGTCACCTGTGTATGCTGAGGAAGTGTCGGTGACAGGAAGAGAGGTGGTGTCACCTGTGGATGCTGAGGAAGTGTCGGTGACAGGAAGAGAGGTGGCATGACCGGTGGATGCTGAGGAAGGGCTAGTGACAGGAAGAGGCGTGGTGTCACCTGTGGATACTGAGGAAAGGCTGGTGACAGGAAGAGGGGTGGCCTGACCTGTGGATGCTGAGGAAGCGTCGGTGACAAGAAGAGGAGTGGCGTGACCTGTGGATGCTGAGGAAGGGCTAGTGACAGGAAGAGGCGTGGTGTCACCTGTGGATACTGAGGAAAGGCTGGTGACAGGAAGAGGGGTGGCCTGACCTGTGGATGCTGAGGAAGTGTCGGTGACAGGAAGAGGGGTGGTGTCACCTGTGGATGCTGAGGAAGTGCTGGTGACAGGAAGAGCGGTGGCCTGACCTGTGGATGCTGAGGAAGTGTCGGTGACAGGAAGAGGGGTGGTGTGACCTGTGGATGCTGAGGAAGGGCTAGTGACAGGAAGAGGCGTGGTGTCACCTGTGGATACTGAGGAAAGGCTGGTGACAGGAAGAGGGGTGGCGTGACCTGTGGATGCTGAGGAAGTGTCGGTGACAGGAAGCGGGGTGGCGTGACCGGTGGATGCTGAGGAAGGGCTGGTGACATGAAGAGGGTTGGCGTGACCTGTGGATGCTGAGGAAGTGTCGGTGACAGGAAGCGGGGTGGCGTGACCGGTGGATGCTGAGGAAGGGCTGGTGACATGAAGAGGGGTGGCGTGACCTGTGGATATTGAGGAAGTGTCGGTGACAGGAAGAGAGGTGGCGTGACCTATGGATGCTGAGGAAGTGTCGGTGACAGGAAGAAGGGTGGCGTGACCTGTGGATGCTGAGGAAGTGTCGGTGTCAGGAAGAGGGGTGGCGTGACCTGTGGATGCTGAGGAAGTGTCGGTGACAGGAAGAGAGGTGGCGTGACCTGTGGATGCTGAGGAAGTGTCGGTGACAGGAAGAGGGGTGGTGTCACCTGTGGATACTGAGGAAAGGCTGGTGACAGGAAGAGGGGTGGCCTGACCTGTGGATGCTGAGGAAGTGTCGGTGACAGGAAGAGGCGTGGTGTCACCTGTGGATACTGAGGAAAGGCTGGTGAGAGGAAGAGGGGTAGCGTGACCTGTGGACACTGAGGAAGCGTCGGTGACAGGAAGAGGGGTGGCATGACCTGTGGACACTGAGGAAGCGTCGGTGACAGGAAGAGAGGTGGCGTGACCTGTGGACACTGAGGAAGCGTCGGTGACAGGAAGAGGGGTGGTGTGACCTGAGGATGCTGAGGAAGGGATGGTGACAGGAAGAGAGGTGGCATGACCTGTGAACACTGAGGAAGCGTCGGTGACAGGAAGAGAGGTGGCGTGACCTGTGGACACTGACGAAGCGTCGGTGACAGGAAGAGGGGTGGTGTGACCTGTGGATGCTGAGGAAGGGCTGGTGACATGAAGAGGGGTGGCGTGACCTGTGGATACTGAGGAAGTGTTGGTGACAGGAAGAGGGGTGGCGTGACCTGTGGATGCTGAGGAAGTGTCGGTGACAGGAAGAGGGGTGGTGTCACCTGTGGATACTGAGGAAGTCTCGGTGACAAGAAGAGGGGTGGTGTCACCTGTGGATGATGAGGAAGTGTCGGTGACAGGAAGAGAGGTGGTGTCACCTGTGTATGCTGAGGAAGTGTCGGTGACAGGAAGAGAGGTGGTGTCACCTGTGGATGCTGAGGAAGTGTCGGTGACAGGAAGAGAGGTGGCATGACCGGTGGATGCTGAGGAAGGGCTAGTGACAGGAAGAGGCGTGGTGTCACCTGTGGATACTGAGGAAAGGCTGGTGACAGGAAGAGGGGTGGCCTGACCTGTGGATGCTGAGGAAGCGTCGGTGACAAGAAGAGGAGTGGCGTGACCTGTGGATGCTGAGGAAGGGCTAGTGACAGGAAGAGGCGTGGTGTCACCTGTGGATACTGAGGAAAGGCTGGTGACAGGAAGAGGGGTGGCCTGACCTGTGGATGCTGAGTAAGTGTCGGTGACAGGAAGAGGGGTGGTGTCACCTGTGGATGCTGAGGAAGTGCTGGTGACAGGAAGAGGGGTGGCGTGACCTGTGGATGCTGCGGAAGTGTCGGTGACAGGAAGAGAGGTGGCGTGACCTGTGGATGCTGAGGAAGGGCTGGTGACATGAAGAGAGGTGGCGTGACGTGTGGATAATGAGGAAGCATTGGTGACAGGAAGAGGGGTGGTGTCACCTGTGGATGCTGAGGGAGTGTCGGTGACAGGTAGAGGGGTGGTGTGACCTGTAGATGCTGAGGAAGGGCTGGTGACAGGAAGACGGGTGGTGTCACCTGTGGATACTGACGAAGCGTCGGTGACAAGAAGAGGGGTGGTGTGACCTGTGGATACTGAGGAAGTGTCGGTGCCAGGAAGAGGGGTGGTGTCACCTGTGGATGCTGAGGAAGTGCTGGTGACAGGAAGAGGGGTGGCATGACCTGTGGATGCCGAGGAAACGTTGGTGACAGGAAGACGGGTGGTGTCACCTGTGGAAGCTGAGGAAAGGCCGGTGACAGGAAGATGGGTGGCGTGACCTGTGGATGCTGAGGAAGTGTCGGTGACAGGAAGAGGGGTGGTGTCACCTGTGGATGCTGAGGAAGCGTCGGTGACAGGAAGAGGGGTGGTGTGACCTGAGGATGCTGAGGAAGAGCTGGTGACAGGAAGAGGGGTGGTGTCACCTGTGGATACTGAGGAAGCGTCGGTGACATGAAGAGGGGTGGCGTGACCTGTGGATGCTGAGGAAGGGCTAGTGACAGGAAGAGGCGTGGTGTCACCTGTGGATGCTGAGGAAAGGCTGGTGACAGGAAGAGGGGTGGCGTGACCTGTGGATGCTGAGGAAGCGTCGGTGACATGAAGAGGGGTGGCGTGACCTGTGGATGCTGAGGAAGGGCTAGTGACAGGAAGAGGAGTGGTGTCACCTGTGGATACTGAGGAAAGGCTGGTGACAGGAAGAGAGGTGGCGTGACCTGTGGACACTGAGGAAGCGTCGGTGACAGGAAGAGGGGTGGTGTCACCTGTGGATGCTGAGGAAAGGCTGGTGACAGGAAGAGGGGTGGCCTGTCCTGTGGATGCTGAGGAAGTGTCGGTGACAAGAAGAGGGATGGCGTGACCTGTGGATGCTGAGGAAGGGCTGGTGACAGGAAGAGGGGTGGCCTGACCTGTGGATGCTGAGGAAGTGTCGGTGACAGGAAGAGGGGTGGCGTGACCTGTGGATGCTGAGGAAGTGTCGGTGACAGGAAGAGAGGTGGCGTGACCTGTGGATGCTGAGGAAGTGTCGGTGACAGGAAGAGAGGTGGCGTGACCTGTGGATACTGAGGAAGTTTCGGTGACAGGAAGAGGGGTGGTGTCACCTGTGGATGTTGAGGAAGGGCTGGTGACAGGAAGAGGGGTGGTGTCCCCTGTGGATAATGAGGAAGCATCGGTGTCATGAAGAGCGGTGGCGTGACCTGTGGATACTGAGGAAGCGTCGGTGACAAGAAGAGAGGTGGCGTGACCTGTGGATATTGAGGAAGCGTCGGTGACAAGAAGAGGGGTGGCGTGACCTGTGGATGCTGAGGAAGGGTTAGTGACAGGAAGAGGCGTGGTGTCACCTGTGGATACTGAGGAAAGGCTGGTGACAGGAAGAGGGGTGTCCTGACCTGTGGATGCTGAGGAAGTATCGGTGACAGGAAGCGGCGTGGTGTCACCAGTGGATGCTGAGGAAAGGCTGGTGACAGGAAGAGGGGTGGCCTGTCCTGTAGATACTGAGGAAGTGTCGGTGACCGGAAGAGGGGTGGCATGACCTGTGGACACTGAGGAAGCGTCGGTGACAGGAAGAGGGGTGGCGTGACCTGTGGACACTGAGGAAGCGTCGGTGACAGGAAGAGAGGTGGCGTGACCTGTGGGTACTGAGGAAGCGTCGGTGACAGGAAGAGGGGTGGTGTGACCTGAGGATGCTGAGGAAGGGCTAGTGACAGGAAGAGGCGTGGTGTCACCTGTGGATGCTGAGGAAAGGCTGGTGACAGGAAGAGAGGTGGCGTGACCTGTGGATACTGAGGAAGCGTCGGTGACATGAAGAGGGGTGGTGTCACCTGTGGATGCTGAGTTAGTGTCGGTGACAGGAAGAGGGGTGGTGTCACCTGTGGATACTGAGGAAGCGTCGGTGACAAGAAGAGAGGTGGCGTGACCTGTGGACACTGAGGAAGCGTCGGTGACAGGAAGAGAGGTGGTGTGACCTGAAGATGCTGAGGAAGGGATGGTGACAGGAAGAGAGGTGGTGTCACCTGTGGATGCTGAGGAAGCGTCGGTGACAGGAAGAGGGGTGGTGTCACCTGTGGATGCTGAGGAAGGGCTGGTGACAGGAAGAGGGATGGCCTGACCTGTGGATGCCGAGGAAACGTCGGTGACAGGAAGACGGGTGGTGTCATCTGTGGAAGCTGAAGAAAGGCCGGTGACAGGAAGTGGGGTGGCGTGAGCTGTGGATACTGAGGAAGTGTCGGTGACAGGAAGAGGGGTGGCCTGACCTGTGGATGCTGAGGAAGCGTCAGTGACAAGAAGAGGGCTGGCGTGACCTGTGGATGCTGAGGAAGGGCTAGTGACAGGAAGAGGCGTGGTGTCACCTGTGGATACTGAGGAAAGGCTGGTGACAGGAAGAGGGGTGGCCTGACCTGTGGATGCCGAGGAAACGTCGGTGACAGGAAGACGGGTGGTGTCATCTGTGGTAGCTGAGGAAAGGCCGGTGACAGGAAGAGGGGTGGCGTGACCGGTGGATGCTGAGGAAGTGCTGGTGACAGGAAGAGGGGTGGCGTGACCTGTGGATGCTGAGGAAGGGCTGGTGACATGAAGAGGGGTGGCGTGACCTGTGGATAATGAGGAAGCATTGGTGACAGGAAGAGGGGTGGTGTCACCTGTGGATGCTGAGGAAGTGTCGGTGACAGGAAGAGGGGTGGTGTGACCTGTAGATGCTGAGGAAGGGCTGGTGACAGGAAGAGGGGTGGTGTCACCTTTGGATGCTGAGGAAGTGTCGGTGACAGGAAGAGGGGTGGTGTGACCTGTAGATGCTGAGGAAGGGCTGGTGACAGGAAGAGGGGTGGTGTGACCTGTGGATACTGAGGAAGCGTCGGTGACAGGAAGAGGGGTGGTGTCACCTGTGGATGCTGAGGAAGGGCTAGTGACAGGAAGAGGCATGGTGTCACCTGTGGATGCTGAGGAAAGGCTGGTGACAGGAAGAGGGGTGGCGTGACCTGTGGATGCTGAGGAAGGGCTGGTGACATGAAGAGGAGTGACGTGACCTGTGGATGCTGAGGAAGTGCTAGTGACAGGAAGAGGCGTGGTGTCACCTGTGGATACTGAGGAAGTGTCGGTGACAAGAAGAGAGGTGGCCTGACCTGTGGATGCTGAGGAAGTGTCGGTGACAGGAAGAGGGGTGGTGTGACCTGTGGATGCTGCGGAAGGGATGGTTACAGGAAGAGAGGTGGCGTGATCTGTGGACACTGAGGAAGCGTCGGTGACAGGAAGAGGGGTGGCGTGTCCTGTGGATGCTGAGGAAGTGTCGGTGACAAGAAGAGGGGTGGCGTGACCTGTGGATGCTGAGGAAGGGCTAGTGACAGGAAGAGGCGTGGTGTCACCTGTGGATACTGAGGAAAGGCTGGTGACAGGAAGAGGGGTGGCCTGACCTGTGGATGCTGAGGAAGCATCAGTGACATGAAGAGGGGTGGTGTGACCTGTGGATACTGAGGAAGCGTCGGTGACAGGAAGAGGGGTGGTGTCACCTGTGGATGCTGAGGAAGGGCTAGTGACAGGAAGAGGCATGGTGTCACCTGTGGATGCTGAGGAAAGGCTGGTGACAGGAAGAGGGGTGGCGTGACCTGTGGATGCTGAGGAAGGGCTGGTGACATGAAGAGGAGTGACGTGACCTGTGGATGCTGAGGAAGTGCTAGTGACAGGAAGAGGCGTGGTGTCACCTGTGGATACTGAGGAAGTGTCGGTGACAAGAAGAGAGGTGGCCTGACCTGTGGATGCTGAGGAAGTGTCGGTGACAGGAAGAGGGGTGGTGTGACCTGTGGATGCTGCGGAAGGGATGGTTACAGGAAGAGAGGTGGCGTGATCTGTGGACACTGAGGAAGCGTCGGTGACAGGAAGAGGGGTGGCGTGTCCTGTGGATGCTGAGGAAGTGTCGGTGACAAGAAGAGGGGTGGCGTGACCTGTGGATGCTGAGGAAGGGCTAGTGACAGGAAGAGGCGTGGTGTCACCTGTGGATACTGAGGAAAGGCTGGTGACAGGAAGAGGGGTGGCCTGACCTGTGGATGCTGAGGAAGCATCAGTGACATGAAGAGGGGTGGTGTGACCTGTGGATACTGAGGAAGTGTCGGTGACAGGAAGAGAGGTGGCGTGACCTGTGGATGCTGAGGAAGTGTCGGTGACAGGAAGAGGGGTGGTGTGACCTGTGGATACTGAGGAAGTGTCGGTGACAGGAAGAGAGGTGGCGTGACCTGTGGATGCTGAGGAAGTGTCAGTGACAGGAAGAGGGGTGGTGTCACCTGTGGATGCTGAGGAAAGGCTGGTGACAGGAAGAGGGGTGACGTGACCTGTGGATGCTGAGGAAGTGTCAGTGACAGGAAGAGGGGTGCTGTCACCTGTGGATGCTGAGGAAAAGCTGGTGACAGGAAGAGGGGTGACGTGACCTGTGGATTCTGAGGAAGTGTCGGTGACAGGAAGAGGGGTGGTGTGACCTGTGGATACTGAGGAAGGGCTGGTGACAGGAAGAGGGGTGGCGTGACCTGTGGATACTGAGGAAGCATCGGTGACATGAAGAGGGGTGGTGTGACCTGTGGATGCCGAGGAAGCGTAGGTGACAGGAAGAGGGGTGGCGTTGCTGATGAGGGCCGTGGTGAAGGTTTTACCAGACCCTGAAGGTGACAGAGTGTGGGTCTCGGTTTGTGGAGATGTAAGCCCAGTGGATGTGATCGATGGAGGTGTGGGTGGGACTGTTGAGAAGGTGTCGGTTGCCTGGGACGCCAGGCTGATAGTGTCAGACCCTCTGCTGGTTCTTGTCCTCTGAGTCTGGGCCATCCGGGAAATGGCGGCTGTCTCCTGAGGAGAGGCACTGGGAGAAGTTGGGCTTGACTGTCCTGTCGGTCTCCCTGCAGTGGAGGCCTCAGAGAGGGTGGGATGAAAGGTGCCGGGGACGATCGAAGACGCCATTCCTGTGCTTACTGGGATGGCACCATGACTGGCTGAGGCGGACAGCAATTCGGTTGTTGACTGGGTTGTGTGACTGTCCCTGGAGGGGTTTGATGAAAACCTTGTCGTCTCTCCTGAGGTGGATATTCCTTCGCTTCCTGAAGGTGTTGTGCCACTCGCCCCGGATGAGGAAGGGGTAGCTGTGCCCGCTGAGGTGGTTCGTGACCCTGAGGAGGCCGGTTCGCTGGTCTGTGTTTGTCCAGAGGCCTCTGTGCTCTCAGCCTGGTGGGTATGGGTCATGGCTGCTGCTGTGTCAGGTGAGGTGCTGGCAGAGGCTGATGTCCATTGTCCTTCTGGGCCCCCTGGTGTTGACACTACAGAGTTGGCCAGAGTAAGGGCACCTGTTTTGGAAAGTGACGTGCCTCCTGAGGGCCCCAGGGTGGCATCATGGCTGCTGGGTGCTGCCTGCAGTGCTGTGGTCGGGGCCTGGGTTGTGTGACCATCCCCGGTGGGAGCTGGGGCAAAGGTTGTTGCTGCACTTATGGTGGGTGCGTCCTGAGGAACAATTTCTGAGGGCGAGTGCCCACTGGCTGTGAAGGAAGAACCTGGGGTGGTGACTGTCTTGGTGTCAGTCATGGGGGAGACGGACCTCGTGGTTTGTGATTCTTGTGTGGTCTGCGGGGCTTGAGTGTGACCCCTTTGGGAAACAGCTGGTGATTCCTGAGGAGAGGTGCTTGTGGAATGTATTGTTGAATGATTTGTTGATGGTGCCGTTGTAATTTGTTGGGATGTGTGTCTATCCAGCATAGGTGAAGAAGATGGGGATGTGGCCGTTTTTATCATCTGAGTCACACTGTAGCTTGGGCTGCTGAGAAGAGCCTCTCCAGTGGTCCCCGTTTCTTGTGTCCATTGTGTCTGGGCGCCTGCCCCTGTTGTTTTTGGGAGAGTTGTGCTGTGGGAGGAGTATGTGGTGGGCTCTCCTGGTTCCCCTATTGCTGAGACCTTAGAGGGGACCCTTGGAATAGTGCCAGCTGTCCCTGTAGATGGATTTCCTGTGACAAGCCTAGTGGCAGCACCTGTTGATGTTGAGGGCAGTTCTGTTTGTGACCAAGTTGTGTGGCCTTTGCTGGAGAATGAGGAAGGCCATGTTGTTGTTTCATGTAGAGTAAATATTTCTTGAGACACACCTGGAGAGAATGAGCTCCTCTCATGAGGCCGTCCTGTGGTCTCTGCACCTTCACTCTGCTGGGTGTGGAAAGCTGTGGATATTTTTGGAGGTAGAGAACTGGGGGAGAGTGCTGTTGACAGAGTGTCTGACCACCATATGGTTGAAACTTTGGAAGTGATTGCAGAAATGGTTCCACTTACAGATAGTGATGTCTCCTCTGTGTTTCCAAGAGTAGAGTCTCTGGAGGTTGGCATTCTGAACACCTTTGATGTTACCAGGAATGTATTGCTGACACTGGAAGGGGATGAGGTGGTTGTTTCACCAGAAGGGAATGTCTCCTGAGAAACTGTTCCACTTGGGTTGAATCCACTTGGTGAGGATAAAACAGTTGATGTTGTAACCGGTGTGAGGGTGTTGAGGGTGTTGATTTGAGATACTCTGGTGGTCTCCACGCTCTGAGTCTGGTGGTTCTTAGAAAAAGCTGTTGTGTCCTGAGTAGAAGTCCTTGAGAAAGTTGCTGGTGATTGTCCTTCTGGATCAAATGTTACTAAGGCTGCTGAGGTGACTGGCATAAGACTTCCAGTAACAGGTACTGATGATGTCTCCCCTGGGTTTCCAAGAGTGGAGCCTGTGGAGGTTGTCACTGTTATCTTCTCTGATGTCATCATGGATGTGTTTGTGACACTACAGAGGGATGAGGTAGCTGTTTCACCTGAAGGAGATGTCTTCTGAGAAACAGTCCCTGTCACATTGTGTACACTTGGAGAGAAAGAAGGAGTTGAAGTGGTTCTGTGTGTTAGGGTGCTGGTTTGAGATTCCCTGGTGGTCTGCGTGCTCCGAGTCCAGTGGTTCTGAGAAGAAGCTGATGTGTCTTGGATAGAGGTCCTCCAGGAAGTTGTTCGTGATTGTCCTTCCTGTCCAGCTGTTATTGAGACTGCTGAGGTCACTGGGGTAGAACTTTCAGTTCCTGCTGTTGATGTCTCTTCTGTGTTTCCAAGAGTGGAGTCTGTGGAGGTTGTCATTGTTATAGTCTTTGATGTCATCATGAGTGTGTTGGTGACACTGGAGGGAAATGATGTGGTCATTTCATCTGGAGGAGCTGTCTCCATCACATTGTGTACACTTGGGGAAGAAAAAAGAGTTGATGTCATCATCTGCGTGAGGGTGTCGGTTTGAGCTTTGCTGGTGGTCTCCGTGCTCTTAGTCTGGTGGTTCTGAGATGAAGCTGATATGTCCTGATTAGAGGTCCTTGAAGAAGCTGCAGTTGATTGTCCCTCTAGTGTCGCTGTTGTTGAGCCTGTTGAGGTGACTGGGGCAGCAGTTTTACTTCCAGTTATTAATGTGTCCTCTGTGGTTCCTGGAGTGAACCAAAATAGGCAAGCAGAGAGCTAAATCATGAATGAACTCCTATTCACAATTGCTACAAATAGAATAAAATACCTAGGAATACAGCTAACAAAGGATGTGAAAACTACCATTCTTCACAGAATGAGAACAAACTACTTTAAAATTCATATGGAATCAAAAAAGAACCCAAATAGCCAAGACAATCCTAAGCAAAAAGAACAAAGTGGGAGGCTACCTGACTTCAAACTATACTACAAGGCTACAGTAACCAAAACAGCATGGTACTGGTACCAAAACTGACATATAAACCAATGGAACAGAATAGATACCTTGGAAATAAGACCACACATCTACAACCATCTGATCTTTGACAAACCTGACAAAAGCAGGCAATGGGGAAAGGATTCTCTATTCAATAAATGGTGCTGGGAAAACTGGTTAGCCATATGCAGAAAACTGAAACTGGACCCCTTCCTTACACCTTATACAAAAATTAACTCAAGGCAGGTTAAAGACTTACATGTAAAACCCCAAACCATGAAAACCCTAGAAGAAAACCTAGGCAATACCATTCAGGACATAGACATAGGCAAAGATTTTATGATGAAATCTCCAAAAGCACTTGCAACAAAAGCTAAAATTGACAAATGGGATCTAATTAAACTAAAGAGCTCTGCACAGCAAAAGAAACTATCATCAGAGCAAACAGGCAACCTACAAAATGAGAAAATTTTTGCAATCTAACCATCTGACAGAGGTCTAATATCCAGAATTTACAAGGAACTTAAATTTACAAGAAAAAAATAAACAACCCCATCAAAAAGCAGGCAAAGGATATGAACAGACACTTATCAAAAGAAGACATTTATGCCACCAACAAACATATGAAAAAAGGCTCATCATCATGGATCATTAGAGAAATGCAAATCAAAACTACAAAGGGATATCATCTCACACCACTCAGAATGGCAATTATTAAAAAGTCAAGAAACAGCAGATGCTGGCAAGGCTGTGGTGAAATAGGAACGCTTTTACACTGTTGGTGGGAGTGTAAATCAGTTCAACCATTGTGGAAGACAGTGTGGCGATTCCTCAAGGATCTAGAACCAGAAATACCATTTGACCCAGCAATCCCATTACTGGGTATATGCCCAAAGGAATATAAATCATTCTGTTATAAAGATACATGCACACGTATGTTTACTGCAGCACTATTTACAATAGTAAAGACATGAAACCAACCCAAATGTCCATCAGTGATAGACTGGATAAAGAAAATGTGGTACATATGCAGCACGGAATACTATGCAGCCATGAAAAAGGAATGGGATCACGTCCTTTGCAGGTACATGGATGAAGCTGAAAGCCATCATCCTCAACAAACTAACAGGGGAACAGAAAACCAAACACTGCATGTTTTCACTCATAAGTTGGAGTTGAACAATGAGAACACATGGACACAGAGAGGGGAACAACACACACTGGCGCCTGTCAGGGACGGGACAAGGGGAGGAAGAGCGTCAGGATAAATAGCTAATACATGCAGGTGATGGGTTGATAGGTGCAGTAAACCACCATGGCACATATATACCTGTGTAACAAACCTGCACGTTCTGCACATGTATCCTGAAACTTAAAGTAAAAATGAAAAGAAATAAAAAGAAAAAATGAAAAATTAATATATCACAACTGTACATATTTGGGGGATAAAAAAATAATAAGAGATGGGGCCGGGCATGGTAGCCCCACCTGCAATCCCAGCACTTTGGGAGGCTGAGATGGGTGGATCACTTGAGGTCAGGAGTGCGAGACCAGCCTGGGCAATATGGCAAAACCCCGTCTCTACTAGAAAAAAAAATACAGAAATAGCTGGGCGTGGTGGTGGGTGCCTGTAATCCCAGTTACTCAAAAGGCTGAGGCAGGAGAATTGCTTGAACCCAGGAGGTGGAGGTTGCAGTGAGCAGACATCATGCCACTTCACTGCAGCCTGGGCGACAGAGCAAGATTCTGTCTCAAAAAAAAAATAAATAAATAAAATAAAAAAGGAGAGAGAGATGGGGGTGCAGGATTCCCACAGAGGAAGGCCCCTGATAAGCACTGCTTCAAATCGCCTAGAAAAAGCACAGTTGCAGGAATATAGCCAATGGTCTTCTCCAGCTCCCGCCTGTCTTCCTTGTGAGGAGGAAGGTGAGGTTAGACTAGAATGGTGAATTAACTGTGTTAAACTCCATGGGAAGAGGCAAACAGTACCCCTGCTATAAGCCGGGTTAACTCTCTCAACTTGAATTATAGCATTATCTTTCTTAAAAATAAATTAAATTTCTACTTTTCTTTTTCGTTGTTAACATCTGTGCCAATCTGGTAAAAAACCCAAGGGGTAAATGCATATACTCTTGCCCTGGTCACAGACTACCAAGAAGCTAATATTATTGACCATAACCACTTTTTAAAAAAAAATTATTTCCCAGGCAGAGGCCAGGCATGGTGGCTCATGTCTGTAATCCCAGCATTTTGGGAGGCCAAGGTGGGAGGATCACTCGAGGCCAGGAGTTTGAGACCAGCCTGGGCAAGATAGCGAGACCCTGTGTCTTAAAAAATAAAAATAATAATAATAATAATAAAAATAGATATTAAATAAATAAAGAAAAATATTTCCCAGGCAGAATGTTTAAATATTGGCTTTTTTTGTTTAAAATATTTCACAGCACCTGCACTAGCCACATACCATCTTCGTGAATATTACCTTAGCCTCTGAGTCTCTGAACCAAGAAGAAACCAAGAAAACTTGCCTTTTTTTTTCTCTTAGAAACTGACTCTTTTGGGTTTTCATTAGTTCCCTAGCTGTTCTCAAACTTCTTTCTTTTTTCTTTTTAAACATATATATATAGAGAGAGAGAGAGAGAGAAGAAAGAGAGAGAGAGAGAAAGAAAGAGAGAGAGAGAAAGAGAGACAGGGTCTTCTGTCACCCAGGCTGAAGTTCAGCGGTGTAATTGGCCTTCTGAGTAGCTGGGACTACAGGCACACACAACCATGCCTGGGTAATTTTTTTATTTCTGTAGAGGTGGAATCTTGCTATGTTGCCTAGGCTGGTGTCGAACTCCCGGCCTCAAGCGATCCTCCTGCTTCAGACTCTCAAAGTACTGGGATTAAAGGTGTGAGCCACCGCTCCCACCCTTTTTTTCAACCTCAGTGCTCCTAGATAGTTGGCAAGATGATACTCAGAGAGACAAAGTCTCAGGGAAGAATTC